>NC_000005.10:114352231-114655261 GCF_000001405.40 Homo sapiens | reverse complement strand
GTAAGAGCACCTGTATCACAGACTATGTGATAAACTAATATATTAAAAAGTTCTTAAAACATAACCTGACTCATAGGAAGTGTAATATAAACATTAGCTATTTTGGTTTACAATCTTTTCAGCACCTTTCATGGGTGGGTAAGGCTTAATTTGAAAATTTCCCTTTTAACTCTCTTTATGCACCTGCTTCTTTTATGCCTTTTCATCCTGGTCTTAACCATTGTGATGACACAATGTTCGCTTTTGAAGCGTTTTTAAATCCCAAGTTTTGGAGAATGTACTCAGAATGTATCCTTTGGCCCTTCGCTCACTCCCTCTCCTATACTGCCCCTTCTCTTTCCTCCACCCCAACAAACACCCTTCAGGGCACTGTGAAATTGGAGGGGCATGCCTTGTTTCTGTGTCCCTCTCTTGGAGTGCTCCCATCTCCAAACACATACAGAAGACTATGGGACACACATCTGCCTTTCTGGCCTTCAGGAATATGCCAAGCCACAGGCCCCCAACCCTGCCTGATTGTGCCTCATTGTCCAAAATCCCTGGCTTAGCTCTTTACCCTGAGCCAGGAAGCTAATGGATGATGACAACCCCATGTGTTCCCATATCTTGGGATCTTTGCATTCTGTCCTTGAATCCCAGAAGAGTCAGGATCATAAGTGAATAAAAAGAGTGGTGGAATTTCAGGCCTCATGTCGTGGCAGCTGTGAAGATTATTTTTGGGCAGGGTCTCCTTTTAGCATCCCACAAAGTGTACTACGTAGGCAGCTGCCTAGCCCACTCATCTCTCTCTTATGCTTCAAATGGTGAATGCAGAAAAAATATGAGCTGGCTCCTTTAAGAGAAGGTGATAACAATGTTAAATACATATTTAGGTTTTGTTCTCTGGATATGGTAAATCCAGCCTCAGAGGTCAGTTGGGCTGTTGGTAAGGAGGATGCTTGCTTACTTCCTATGAAGAGTATTAGTGAGGAATTAAAGCATGAACAGAATTAAAAGTTTAATTTATAATTTACTGAGTAGTCAGGGAGCCCAATTTTTCCATAAAGGGACTTAATATTAATCCAGGATAAATTATAATAGTTATCTCCTAAAAAAATGAGTTTAGAATGATTTAGGTGCTCATTTTGCTTGTTTCAACTGGACCCAGGAGAGGTTTGTAATGATTTTCCTTCATGTGTGTAAAGGATTGCATTGGTCTAGATAAAAAGGGTCAAGTTTTGAATGTGCCTCAGATAGGGCCCTCTTTGCCAGGAATGGTATTGAGTTTTGTCTGTTTCCCACCAACCAAAGCTGTAGAATGTGAAGTGTTGGGTATTGTGGTAGTTGGTCTCCAAATACAGCTACCCACAACCCTCCTGCCTCTAGGTGCACACTGCTTCTCCCACCAAGAGTGAAATCAGGGCTGGCATGGTAACTTGTCTTGACCAATGGAATGCATCACAGGTGATATTTTGGGATTTCTGAGCAGAGGCCTTGCAACAACTAGAAGATCCCACTTACCTTCTGTTGGTGCCCAGTTGCAGTGCTGTGATGAAGTCCAGACTAGACTGTCGAATGATGAGAGGCCATGTGATGTGGTTAATGGTTAAGTGGTTAATGGATATTATATGGATAATGATAAGTGGTTACCTTAAGTGTTCCAGTCCCAGTTGAGCCCCTAGTTGAATACATCCACACGAATGTCTTCAGCTACACAATGTGAAGCAGAAGAATCACAGAGCTGAGTCCAACGACCCTCAACACCATGGGCAATACTAAATCATTGTTGTATACCTTTAAGTACTGGGTTGATTTTTAATACAGTAATGTCTAACTTCAACAGGTCTTTCTTTTCCCTGAATGCATGTAGTTTTCACTTCGCTTGCGGTTAATCCCAGAGACCTCAGGCCCAGCGGCTGGAATGGCCCAGCTGAAGGATAACTTGAAAGGTAGTGAAAAGGTAGGCCAGTGAAGCTTCAGGAAGGGCTACCACTGGGATAACCTTCAAGCACGACACAGTGGGGTCTTTCTAGTAGGCCTGAGTGATGCAAAAAAGGATTTGTTTGCTTGCATGTGTGGGATTCAGACAACGGTTTGACTATAATCAGTGCAGTCTGCTTCAGCTAGATATAATAGTGCTGCAGCCTACTAATTTCTGGTATGTTCTGGTAACCCACTTATAAATATAGTAATTCATACATGTTGACAATAAATTGAACTATTCAGGTGTGCCTGTAGAAGAGACGCTTCTTTTTTTCTTTTTCAGTTTTCCCTGTCATTAGGATTTGAATAGGAAGTGAGAGTCAAGTCATCTTTACATACTTCCAATCTCTTTGTGCCCATAAAGTTACAGTACAGAGTTTTCTAATATATGCCCCTCTGAATGTGAGTTCTGTAATGCGGGATGCTAATAGCTGTTAAATGGACAAGAAAGATTTATAGGCACTCATGTTTCAGAAAATGCTATGTTTATGAAAATGTTAATCAGAGGCGTTTTGTGAATTTTTTTTTGCCTTTGATATATTAATATGCCTTGTGAATCTCCAGGAAAGGGTTGTTATTTTACTTTTAAAAATTATGTTTGACTATTTCAAATTCTCACCTTCTCTAAAAGAGAAAAAACATCTCCAGCAACTAGAATTTCATAGGAGATTGTTTAGGCACTACCCATTTGTAGCAAGAGAATGTTGACGGAGTGTGAAGACACTGTTGGAAACTCAAAAATCTGCATGAAGGAAGAGCAGATGTTATGATCAACTATCTCTTGAACTAAGACAGCAGTATAATTGACGTCTTGCCAGAATATCAGAGGAACACCTTTTATGGAGATCAGTTCTTTTTTCCATATGGAGAGGGGGAGAGTAAAGGATGCTTAAACACATGATTATTCCTCATTCTCTTTTTTGAATATCCTGCTGCATAACAAAATGTCAAGAAAATGTCTTCACAGTCTGTCTTCCCACCTAGAATATTTGAGTGTAACTTGACAATAGTAATCACACTGACCTCAGGCCCCGGATACTCCTTTCAGATGTCTTTCCAGTGCAAGAGGAAGAAAAATTTCCAGCGGTCTCCATTTTTATCCCAAAGCTTACTGAGTGCAGGTTCCTTTTACCCTTAAATGTTTTACATTGACCAAAACCTTATGACTTTCTGATGGTGGGTCAGAGGTTATTCCCTAGCTGGTTGATTATGTCTGCTGCCTCATTTCTGACCCTTAACTGTAACCTGATACTGAATTCTGTCTTGTGACTCTGGGCTCTGGCCCAAACTAATAGCAATCTCGTTACATTCCCCGATTTCATCAGAATGGGATATTGGGGCTGCTAGGGAAGACTGATTATACCCAGTTACAGGCTATAGCACCTGGCAGAAGAGTGTATTCATGCTAACTGAAAGCTGGCATTAACCTTTTCAGCAAGAGGTACTTCTTGAGGACAACTAAATTTGATGAAATGTTAATACTGCATTATCCAAGGACATTTCCCAGTACAAAGTGGGATTGGTCTGACAGTTCGGGATGCATGAACCTTCCTCTTTTTTTTTTTTTTCCATAATTATAAGGCATGGTTTCAAGCTCATTATCCTAACTTGAGGCTGTAAGATATGAACTTCGTTAGGCCTCCAAGGAAGCAGAATCTGACTCTTCTAGCCATTCTCCTCCTAGAGGTCTCTCTGATGAAGCACATATGCAAGATTTCTAAACTAATAGCAAAGAATTGCCCCAGCCGGGTGGGGTGGCTCATGCCTGTAATCCCAGCACTTTGGGAGACGGAGGTGGGTGGATCACCTGAGGTCAGGAGTTCGAGACTAGCCTGGCCAACATGGTGAAACCCCATCTCTACTAAAAATACAAGAATTAGCTGGGCATGGTGGCGGGCTGCCTGTAATCGCAGCTACTCAGGAGGCTGAGGCAGGAGAATCACTGGAACCCAGGAGGCAGAGGTTGCAGTGAGCCGAGATTGCGCCATTGCACTCCAGCCTGGCAGACAAGAGTGAAACTCTGTCTGAAAAAAAAATAGAAAATAAAAAAAAGAAAGAAAAGAAAACAGTTGCCCTATAACTCAAATGCAAGGATGTTTGGTAAAACTTGATTGGGAGACAAGGCTAAGGACTGAGGTTGAATTGGAGCGTACTGTTTTCTTCTCCTCTGAATTGAAGTAAACCAGGCCTGCAATGTTGGTCTAAAGTGAATTATTCCTCCAACTATATTGACCATGACCCCGTTTCTTAAAGGAGGATGGAAGATGAAGTAACCAAATTAGTGACCATGCCCACCAGTGAAATGTGAAAAATCAGATCAGTGATTCCTCTTCCCTTTGTAAGGATTGAATAAGAGAAGAAGAGTGAGTACCTCATCATTCCTACTTTGTGAAGAGAAGAATCTCAAGCTCAAAGTCAGTAGAAATATGAGCTGGGGGAAAATAAATATCTCATTTTTAGCACAAATATATTTTTAATGGGTACAAAAATACAGTTAAATACAAGAAATAAGATCTGGTGTTTGGTAGCACAATGGGAGACTATAGTTAACAATAACTTACTGTGTATTTCAAAATAACTAAAAGAGTGGAATTGGAATGTTCTTAATGCAAAAAAAGATAAATGCTTGTGGTGATATACATCCCAATTACTCGGATTTGATTTTTACATATTGCATGCTTGTATCAAAATATCACATACACCCCATAAATTTGCACAGCTAATATGTATCTATAATAACTAAAAACATAAAAATAAAAAAATATCCCTTCAACCTGGATGAAATATAAAACACCAGCCTGTTACTTGCAAATGCTTTTGCCATGTAAGGTAAAACTAATACAAAGTTTAGCAATTTTGTTGCAATTTGTTCCAAAGCATGCAGTCTGACAAATCTATAGGGCTGCTTGGAGCTAGGAAAGATTTCCTTAGTCGTGGCTCATAATCACTTCTATTCAAAATGTTGACCCTTCTTGACCCCATCCTGATAAACAGCATGAGTTAGTTAACAAGTCTGGTTAACTTGTCTTTTGAGAAGTGCCTGTCATTTAGTGATCTGCTTGTGAATGACACATTATTCATTTTAACCAAAAGATAGCATTTCAGACACATCAAAACTGAAAAGAGAAGCCAAGAAGTGCAAAAGCTCAAATACCTTGTCACCTCATAGTCTGTTATGAAGATAACTAATGGCCTGTTGAGAAGTTGTAGAGGAGGTGGAAGAAATGAAACCAATATATAGTGACTCATGGGTGTGTGGGGAAAAGAATGAAACTTGACAAAGTTAGATTGGATAGTATGTTCAAGGCTTTTAACGGTAGGTGAGCCAATGATAGGCATTTTCTCTTAATGCCTTATGCCCATGTAATATTCTCAACATTTCTCAGCATGTAAACCACACAAAACTCCAGAGAGAGGTATTACCTTGTTCGTTTTGCAGAAAGGAGACTCTGAGAGGTTAAAATGGCTTGCTCATGATTGATCAGCCCAATGAGTCAAAATTCTAATGTAGAGCTTCTGAGTCTTAAGCCCATTGCTTTTTCCACTAGATGAGACCTACCTTGGTCTTTCCATATGGTCGATTTGTTACCGTGTCCCCTTGTATTCATCCCTGACATCCTTGCTGCTCTTCCCCCTTTTAACTGAGCCCAGAACAAGGAGAGAAAACCAGTTTATAGTGAGCCTGTCACAGATTGGATGTGGAACCTCACGTTAATGTGCATACATATGAAAGCTGTCCAGTTGGTTCTGTCTTGACCATAAGAATGACACAGGGGGTCTTGTACTCTCAACAGTGGCATACATATGGGGTGGTGAAATATTTTTAGCTACTTTATTTCTAATACATGAAGCCACTTTTGAAATGGAGGTAAGCAGTAGGCTAACTGAAACACAGTGAAAAGTCCAGTTTCTACTAGTTTCTTTTAAATTTGTGCTTAAAAGGTGAAAGGAAAAGTGCGAGTATGTGTGGTTGTAGGTTTGTCACACATAAGCCCTCCCAAGGGTAAAGTTAACAATTTTAACTTTTCTCACTGATCCCAAATCAATTTTGTTTGGAACAGAACCACTTGTCATTTGTTTTTCAAAGAACATCAGACTTTGACAGACACAATGGGCAGGATATTCTCTCTGAAGCTTCACTTTCAAATCTTGTAATGTTAAAGGAAAGTGAAAATGAGCTCTCCTCTATTTGCATTATTTTCTCCGGTGAAATAGGAGCACTTACTGCAAATATCATGTTTTACCTCGGTGTTGGGCACAATGAGAAGCCTACTTGAGAAAGCAAAGTTTTATAGCATTTTGCAACAGGTTTTAATAATTTTGTGGGTTGTACTGGCCCCTTGGTGGATCACATCCCAGCTCCAGATAACTCATGGTGGTTTTCTAAAGGTATGAAACATTGAAAACGAAATGTACAGAGAAAAACAATGAACTCAGTATGCATTACCTACCTCTATGAAATTCTACAATTTTGCCATATGTTTCAGTATTATTTAAAATAAAAGAAACATTACAGATACAGGTAAATTCCCCTGTTACCCCTCACCCATTATGGTCTCCACCTTCCTTTTTCTCCATGTATCGGTATCCAGAATTTGGTGTTCGTGTTCCTGTGCTTGGTTTTTAAAATATATATTTGTTATTAGAATGACACATAGAGAAGCGAGCAAATCATAAGTTACATATTATTTTATATATAATGATCATATTCCTCCCAATGGATGTTTACCAAGTATATATACTGTCACTTTGATGGATGTAACTGCTACCTTGATTAATATATAGACTTTTGCCAGGACTCCAGAAGCCTCCCTTGGGCACCCTAATAATCATTATCCCTTCTAAAACTAGTGAGTATTCTATTCTGATCTCTGCTACAATTGATTAGTTTTACCTGTTTTTGAACTTTATATGAATGGAATTATACTATTTTGTTGCAAGCTTCTTACATTCAACATTCTATTTATGAGATTGATGCATGTAGTTGCTTATTACCGGTTTATTCTTTTTATTGCTGTATAGTGAACTTTATAAATATTATGTAGTTTACATATCTATTCTACAAATGATGGATATTTGGGTGTTATGGCTATTATATGAGTATTGCTGCCAGGAGCAGGACTGAAACTATGTTGAGTCAAGAGAGGTGCCTGAGATGCAACAAGAAAGCGCTCACTCTCAGGATGATAACAGCACGTGTGGGACCCCGAGAGTGAGTAGTACCTCCTTAGATATTACTTCTAGCCAACCATCTTGGCCTCACCTATCCTATCTTTCTCTTACCTGATTGCTCTGGCTAGGCCTTCCAATACTATGTTGAATAGGAGTGGTTAGAGTGAGCATCCTTGACTTGTTCCAGCACGGAAGAGGAATGGTTCAAGCTTTTGCCTGTTCATTATGATATTGGCTGTTGGTTTGTCATACATGACTTTTAATATTTTGAGTTATTTTCCTTTGATGCCTAGTCTGTTGAGGTTTTTTTAATCATGAAAAATGTTTGATTTCATCACAATCTTTTTCTGCACTTAGGGAGATAATCACATGGTTTTTGTTTTTAATTCTGTTTATGTGGTAAATCACGTTTATTGATTTGTGTGTGTTGAACCAATCTTGCATCCCAGGAATGAAGCCTACTTCATCGTGGTGAATTAACATTTTGATCTGCTGCTGGATTCAGTTTGCTAGTGTTTTGTTGAGGATATTTGTGTCGGTGTTTATCAGGGATATTGACTTGTAGTTTTGTTTTTTTGTGTGTCTGCCAGATTTTGATATCAGGAGGATGCTGGCTCTGCAGAATATTTGGGGAGGGGTCCATTTTTTTTTTGAAATTTTGGAATACTTTAAGTAGAATTTGTACCAGCTCTTCTTTGTACATCTGGTAGAATTTGGCTGTGAATCCATCTGGTCCAGGGCTTTTTGTGTTTGGTAGGGTTTTCATTACTGATTCAATTTTGGAACTCATTATTGGTCTGTTCATGGTTTCAGCTTCTTCCTGGTTCAGTCACGGGAGGTTGTGTCTTTCCAGGAATTTACACATTTCCTCTAGATTTTCTAGTTTAGGTACATAAAGGTGTTCATAATAGTTTCTGGGGATCTTTTGTATTTCTAGGAACTGACTTTTAATGTCGTCTTTGCCATTCTGATTGTGCTTATTTGGATCTTATTTCCTTTTTTATTTGTTAATCTAGCTAGAAGTCTATTGATCTTGTCTATCCTTTCAAAAAACCAACTTTGATTTCGTTGATCTTTTGTGTGGATTTTTGCATCTTAGTTTCATTTAGTTCTGCTTTTATTTTAGTTATTTCTTGTCTTCTGATAGCTTTGGGGTTGGTTGGTTCTTGTTTTCATAGTTACTCGAGGTGCAATATTGTATTATTAATTTGAGGTCTAACTTCTTGTTACAGGCATTTAGCATTATAAACTTTCCTCTTTTCACTATTTTGACTGTATCCCAGAGAGTTTTGGTATGTTTTGTCTCTGTTTGCATTAAGTTTAAAGAACTTTTTGATTTCTGCCTTTATTCCATTGTTTACCCAAAAGTGATTCAGGAGTAAGTTGTTTAATGTCTATGCAATTGTGTGGTTTTGAGAGACATCTTATTTCTTGGTATTCATTTCTAGTTTTATTGCACTGTGTTCTGAAATTATGATTGGTACGATTTCTGTTTTTTAAAATTTATTGAGATTTGTTTTATGGATGGGCATGTGGTTGATTGTAGAGTATTCTGTGTGCAGATGAGAAGAATGTATATTTTGTGGTTATTGCGTGGAGAATTCTGTAGATGTCTATTAGGAACAATTGGTCAAGTGTCAAATTTAAGTTTAGAATTTCTTTCTTAGTTTTCTGCCTTGATGATATGTCTAACACTATCAATGGGGTGTTGAAGTCCCCCACTATTATTAATTTTTATCTTTGTCTATTCTATGTTATTTTTAATTGTTGCCAGAGTTGTACTGTCCAATCAAAATACAATGAGTCATAAATGTGGGTCATACATAATTTAAAAAATTCTAATAGCCATGCTAAAAAAAAATAATAAACAGGTATAAATAATCTTACTGTTTAATGGAACATAATATGTCCAAAATATTATCATTTCAAATGTAATAAATATATTCTAATATTTATATATTCTAATATAATATAAATATTCTAATGTAATATAAATATTCTAATAAATATAAACATTCTAACTTTTTTCTACCAAGTCTTTGAAATCTGGTTGTGTTTTACACTTACAGCACATAATTTCTGACTAGGCACATTTCGGGGGCTCCATACCTGCATGTCAGCTCTCATATTGGATTGTATAGTGCTTGAGATCTCAAATGCACCTCTACTTTATCATAAACTGTCTTCAACAAATATTTTCCGGCTTCATGGACAACATAAGAGCCTTTGAACAGTATGCTATAATTAACAGTTTCTTGTTCTTTGTGCTCTTGTTCCCATATATTTTACTCCTACATATTTTATACATCACAGTTCTTTCTCATTTTTTAAACAAACTTTTAATGGAATTTAAATATATGGATGTCTACATAATACATGTTTATATATACTCATAAGCATACAGTAAGAATCACTTTAACATGCAAGGTCATATGTATTTCTGAATATTCTAACTTTTTCTGGTGTTCTTTATTCATTCTCCTGCAATGAAGTTTCTCTCCAGCATCACTTCCTCTCAGACTAAAGATCTTTTAGTGTTTCTTGTAGTACAGATCTGCAGGAGAGTAATTTTTTCAACTTTTTCTCATGTTTGACTCCATTCTTTTTTTTAAGAAAATATACTTTTTCTATTTTTCAGATTGAAAAATTTATATTCATCTATCTTCAAGTTTACTGATTCTTCCCTGTGCTATATCACCTCTGCATGTAAGCCCATCAAAATAATTCTTTATTTTAGAATTTCTACTTGGCTCTTTTTTAGAGTTTTGATGTTTCTACTGAAATTGCCCTTATATTTATGCATGTTCTCTACATTGTTCATTAGATTCGTTAACAAATTTACAGTTATTTTAAAGTCTGCTCGATAATTCTAGCACATGGGCCATTCTAGATCTAGTTCTATTGAATATCTTCACTCTTGATGACTGATTACATTTTCCTGTTTTCTCAGATCTCCTGATTTTTGAATGAATGCAAAACATTGTTAGTAAAAGAACAGTGAAGACTTAAATGAATAACATCTGTATTCTGTTGGTTGAATTGTGTCCTTTGTCCCTCCTCCCACCCTAACCTCCCCCTCACAAAAAAAAGATACGTTGAAGTCCTAACTTCTGGTGCCTGTAAATGTGACCTTAATTGAAAATAGGTATTTTGCAGATGTATTCAAGTTAAGATGTGGTCACACTGAATTAAGGCAGGCTTTATTTCTAATGACTGGTGTGCTTATAAGGAGAGAAAGTGATTCAGAGACAGACAGACACTCACATGGAGGAAGGCTCTGTGAAGACAGAGGCAGAGAATGCTGTTATATGGTCACAAGCTAAGGAATGCCAAGGACTGCTGGCAACCACCAGAATCAAAAAGAGGCAAGGCAGGAATCTTCACTGGAGACTTCAAGGGTCTTGTAGCCCTATTGACACTTTGATTTCATACTTTTAGCCTCTAGAACTCTGAGAGAATACATTCCCATTGATTAAATCACCCAGTTTGTGGTAATTTTTAATAGCAGCCCTAGCAAACTAATACATGACCATAAAAGGGCTTGCCTCTTCTTTGAGTCTGTTGTATAGTATTAAGCCAATTTAGCCTATAGTTAAACTGGGTCTAGTTGACCCAGTTTGCTAGGTTTTTTTGTTTTAATTGGATTCAAATCAACCACGTGATTTAAATTAATTGAGTGTGTCATCAGATCCTTCCTTTTAGCAGTACTTGGGATCTGAGTACCTAGAGGTTTATCTTCCTGCCTTTCTCTCAGTCATAGACTATTGGGGAACCTGCCCCGATAGTCACGTAGGTTCTTTTCTATTTTCCTTAAGTGTCAACCGGTTTGAGAAATAAGGGGACAGAGTACAAAAGAGAGAAATTTTAAAGCTGAGAGTCTGGGGGAGACATCACATGTCGGTAGGTTCTGTGACACCCCACAAGCCGCAAAACCAGCAAGTTTTTATTAGGGACTTTCAAAAGGGGAGGGAGTGTGCAAATAGGTGTGGGTCACAGAGATCATGTACTTCACAAGGTAATAGAATATCACAAGGCAAATGGAGGCAGGGTGAGATCACAGGACCACAGGACCAGGGCGAAATTAAAATTGCTAATGAAGTTTCAGGCACCATTGTCATTGATAACATCTTATCAGGAGACAGGGTTTGAGAGCAACTGGTCTGACCAAAATTTATTAGATGGGAATTTCCTCTTCCTAATAAGCCTGGGGGTGCTATGGGAGACTGGGATTTATTTCACCTCTACGGTTTCAACCATAGAAGATGGCCACACCCAAGGGGGCCATCTATAGACCCATCCCCAGGCGCGTATTCTCTTTCCCAGGGATGTTCCTTGCTGAGAAAAAGAATTCAGTGATATTTCTCCCATTTACTTTTGAAAGAAGAGAAATATGGCTCTGTTCCACCCCACTCACCAGTGGTCAGAGTTTAAGGTTATCTCTCTTGTTTCCTAAACATTGCTGTTATCCTGTTCTTTTTTCAAGGTGCCCAGATTTCATAATGTTTAAACACACATGCTCTACAATTTATGCAGTTAACGCAATTATCACAGGGTCCTGAGGTGACATACATCCTCCTCAGCTTACGAGATGACAGGATTAAGAGATTAAAGTAAAGACAGGCATAGGAAATCACAAGGGCATTGATTGGGGAAGTGATAAGTGTCCATGAAATCTTCACAATTTGTGTTTAGAGATTGCAGTAAAGACAGGCATAGGAAATTATAAAAGTGTTAATTTGCGGAACTAATAAATGTCCATGAAATCTTCACAATCCACGTTCTTCTGCCATGGCTTCAGCCGGTCCCTCCGTTTGGGGTCCCTGACTTCCCACAACAATAGACTATTCTTGTTTGGTATTCATTATTAGATAAAGTCTGGAGTGCCTGTGGGGTTTCTCTCACTTCTCCTCTGCCCTCATATGTCAGTAAGTACCTCATGTCTGTGCCTCAGGAAAAGTATATCTCAGTGTTCCTTATGTGCCCCAGATTATTACCGTATGCAATTGATGAAGAACTATGGACAAAGGTTGGCAAATAGATACAGATTAAATTACCATGCCAAGGCATAATTTTTTTTCAAGTGTGCTAAAATTTTGGCTGCCTTTAAAAAAAAATCATGCCAATGATAGCTTTCTTCTATTTTTGTGTTGCTCTCTGGCAAAGATAAAAGAAGCTATTAGTCTATTCCTTCCCCTAAAAAGAAGGACAATCTTTCTTAAATTTTAAGTCATAGGTTTCTTTGTGGCCTCACCTTTTTAATGAATTTTTTAAAAAACTGATTTTATAGGATGCATAGCTTATTCTCATTGTTTGGGTCTGCATCAGAGGTCCTGACAGCCACCCCAGGTTTGCTGATTCAATAGAGAGAAGTTATTGTACTAATGATTACCGTTAACCACAGCAAAATGATACAAAGCAAAATCAGCAAAGGGAGAATGGGGAGAAATCTGGAGGAAAGCAGATGTTAGCTTCCAAGAGTCTTCCCCCAGAGGAACAGCTCAGGACATACTTAATTCCTCTAGCAACAAATAATGACAATACATGCAAAATGTTGTCTACCAGGAAAGTTTATCTAAGTGTAGAAGTCCAGGATTTTTAAAAATCAGATGTCAGTCAGATAGACACATAGTGTCTTCATGACTATTTGCAGTTACTGAAGCTCCAAGTCCCTGCAGAAGAAAAGCACGTGTTTACTATAAATCACATTGTGTGCTCAAAATACTCAAATTAGTTCAAGCCCTGAGCATGCAAAATACTTTTATCACTTAGAACATTCCAAGATCTCAATTCCCAGTAGCCAGCCAAGAGCCAATCATGGAAACAAACCCCTCTTGGGAATATGCAAGTTTGAGCAACTAAGGTTTGTTGAGTTACTCTTGACCGGAAAGAAAACCTGAAGATACTCCAGGATCCAATTTAATTTCTCTATTTTCTGCCTCCTAAACATAATAAAAGCTTCAGTAATGTTTTGTAGTTCTATTTCATTACATTTATACCTAGAATATTTTATAATTTTTCTCTATTGTCCTTGCAATAGTTTACTGAGAATGATGATTTCCAATTTCATCCATGTCCCTACAAAGGACATGAACTCATCATTTTTTATGGCTGCATAGTATTCCATGGTGTATATGTGCCACATTTTCTTAATCCAGTCTATCATTGTTGGACATTTGGGTTGGTTCCAAGTCTTTGCTATTGTGAATAATGCTGCAATAAACATACGTGTGCATGTGTCTTTATAGCAGCATGATTTATAGTCCTTTGGGTATATACCCAGTAATGGGATGGCTGGGTCAAATGGTATTTCTAGTTCTAGATCCCTGAGGAATCGCCACACTGACTTCCACAACGGTTGAACTAGTTTACAGTCCCACCAACAGTGTAAAAGTGTTCCTATTTCTCCACATCCTCTCCAGCACCTGTTGTTTCCTGACTTTTTAATGATTGCCATTCTAACTGGTGTGAGATGGTATCTCATTGTGGTTTTGATTTGCATTTCTCTGATGGCCAGTGATTGTGAGCATTTTTTCATGTGTCTTTTGGCTGTATAAATGTCTTCTTTTGAGAAGTGACTGTTCATGTCCTTTGCCCACTTGTTGATGGGGTTGTTTGTTTTTTTCTTGTAAATTTGTTGGAGTTCATTGTAGATTCTGGATATTAGCCCTTTGTCAGATGAGTAGGTTGCGAAAATTTTCTCCCATTTTGTAGGTTGCCTGTTCACTCTGATGGTAGTTTCTTTTGCTGTGCAGAAGCTCTCTAGTTTAATTAGATCCCATTTGTCAATGTTGGCTTTTTTTGCCATTGCTTTTGGTGTTTTAGACATGAAGTCCTTGCCCATGCCTATGTCCTGAATGGTAATGCCTAGGTTTTCTTCTAGGGTTTTTATGGTTTTAGGTCTAAGGTTTAAGTCTTTAATCCATCTGGAATTAATTTTTGTATAAGGTGTAAGGAAGGGATCCAGTTTCAGCTTTCTATATATGGCTAGCCAGTTTTCCCAGCACCATTTCTTAAATAGGGAATCCTTTCCCCATTGCTTGTTTTTCTCAGGTTTGTGAAAGATCAGATAGTTGTAGATATGCGGCATTATTTCTGAGGGCTCTGTTCTCTTCCATTGATCTATGTCTCTGTTTTGGTCCTAGTACCATGCTGTTTTGGTTACTGTAGCCTTGTAGTATAGTTTGAAGTCAGGTAGTGTGATGCCTCCAGCTTTGTCCTTTTGGCTTAGGATTGACTTGGCGATGCGGGCTCTTTTTTGAAAACCAAACACTGCATGTTCTCACTCATAGGTGGGAATTGAACAATGAGAACACATGGACACAGGAAGGGAAACATCACACTCTGGGGACTGTTGTGGGGTGGGGGGAGGTGTGAGGGATAGCATTAGGAGGTATACCTAATGCTAAATGACGAGTTAATGGGTGCAGCACACCAGCATGGCACATGTATACATATGTAACTAACCTGCACATTGTGCACATGTACCCTAAAACTTAAAGTATAATAATAAATAAAATAAAATAAAATAAAAAAATAAAAAAATAATAATTTTTCTCTATTATGTAAATTTTCTTTTATTAATTTTATTTTCTAATTGTTTCTAGGCTGTGAAAATAAAGTGGTTTGTTGATTTAGATTTTTTAAAGCATAATGTTAATTATACTTGTTGTCCAATAACTCATCTATAGATTCTTTTGAATTTTCTATGAATGTAATCATTTTATCTGAAAATAATGACTTTATTTCTTCCACTTCAACCCTTTTACATTTTTTTCCCCTTGTTGCACTTGTCAGAAACTTCGATGTAATGTTCACTTGTCATTGTAGAACTTTTCTAATTTCAGGGAGAAAGCTTTCATTACTTCAACATAAATATAATGTTTGCTGTGAGCCAGCCTCCAAGCCTCTCTGCATGCTTGTCTATCATGTTTTTTTTCCTTCCTTCCTGTCAACTAAGAAAGTTCCCTTCTATTTCTAGCTTGGTAAAACTTTTGATGAGTGGCTGGTGAATTTTATCAAATGTCTTTTAAGCATTTTTTTTTTAAATCCTATTTTTTTCTTATTTTGTTAATGTAACATATTGATTGTTGCGTACGTATTTCATTTTTTAACATTTTGCTTAGAATTTTTGTGCCTATGTTTACAAGGAATACTGGCTTTTAACTATCCTTTCTTTAAGTGTCTCTGTTAGGCTTTGTATCACATTTACAATAGCCTGATAGAATGAATTGAAAAAGGTTTTTTTTTTTTCTGTACCCTGAGTTTGACTAAGATTGTTACTCTTTCAGAAATACACAGCTGACCCTTGAACAACTTAGGTTTGAACTGCTTGGTTCCACTTATATGTAGATTTTCTTCTACCTTTGCCATCCTGAGATAGCAAGACCACCCCTCCTCAGCCAATTCAATGTGAAGATGTTGGGGTGAAGATCTTATGATGATCTACTTCGGCTTAATGAATTGTAAATATATTTTTCCTTCCTTGTGATTTTCTTAAGAACATTTTCTTTCCTCTAGCTTACTTTATTGTAAGAATACGGTATATAATACATAGAACATAAGAAATATGTGTTAACTGTTTGTTACTGGTAAAGCTTTTGGTCAAAAGTAGGCTATTAGCAGTTAAGTGTTAGAAGAGTCAAAAACTATACATGTGTTTAGAAGAGTCAAAAACTATTCGTGTGTTTCTGACTGCGCAAGTGGTCAGTGCTCCTAACCCCCATGTTGTACAAAGGTCAAGTATGTTAGTTTCCTAGGGCTACTGTAACAAATTAGCACAAAGTGATTGTCTTAAAATAATATAAATTTATTCTCTAACAATGCTGGAGGCTAAAAATCCAAAATCAAGGTGTTGGCAGAACTGTGTTCTCTCTGAAGGCTCTAGGAGAGGACCTTTTTTAGCTTCTTCCTGTCCTCTGATGAATACTGGCCATCCTTGGCTTTCCTTGCCTTGTGTACACATCACTTCAGTCTCTGCCTCAGTTGTCACAAGACATTCTCCCTGTGTGTCCAGGTATCCTCTCCTGTTCTTATGAACACATCAGTCATATTTAATTTAGAGCCTACCCTAATCCAGTGTGATTTCATCTTAAATTATTACATTTCTAAACACCCTGTTTCCAAATAAGGTCACATTCTGAAGTACTAGGTGGACATGAATTTTCAAGGGACAGTATTCAACCCAGGATAATAAATATTTTGAGGAGGTCATGCTTGAGGCCAACTGGGCTTGAAGTTTCTCTGTGGAAAAGTTTTTATTATAGGTTTTAATATTTAATATATCAGAGGTATTCAAATTTTCTGGGTTTTTTTCTTATCTCAGTTGTAAGTAATTTTTCCTTAGGGTTTACCTATTTTACCTGAATGTTCTGGTTTTAGGCTAAAGTTGCTTATTGCCATTTTGCATTACATTTATAATATCTATGCAGGATCTGTAGTGATGCTTCACTTTTTACTTCTCATGTTAGTAATTTGTGTTGTTTGTCTTTTTTCTAAATTACTCTCTCAGGGTTTTATCAATTTTATTGGAAGAAGTAGTAATCTTACTTTCAAAAACCCAACTTTTAACTTAAACTTTTCCAGTTTGTTTGTTTTCAATTAATTGATTTCCAGTATTTATTATTTCTTTTCTATTATGTTTGGGTTTAATTTGCCGTTCTTTTCTAGATTCTTGATATTACTGATTTTCAGCCCTTCTTCTCTGATATATGCATTTGAGGCTTCATATTTCCCTCAAGCAGACCCACAAATTCTGGTGTTTTATTTTTATTATAATTCAGTTTAAATATTTTATTATTTTATTGTCATTTAATTTTTAATTGATTGGTTATTTAGAAGTGAAATGAATTACTTTAAATATTTAGAATTTTTTAGTTATCTTTCTGTTACTGATTCCTTGCTCATTTGTCAGAGAACATGCTCAAGATAATTTCAGTGCTTTGAAATTTGCTGAGAATTTCTTTATGGCCCCACATATGGTCTATTTTAGTAAAAGTCCTACATATCCCTTAAAGCAATGTGTATATATTATATAGAAGTTAGGCATAAAATTTTATGTGCTTCAATTAGGCCACGTTTGCTATTTATATTTTAAAAGTCTTCTATATATCTACTGATTTTATTTATTTTTACATGTTATTGGAGAAATGTGTTAAAATCTCTATGATTAGAATTATTCCTTCCTTTTGCAGTGATCCTTTTATAATTATGAAATATCCCTTTCAATCTCAACTAAAACTTCTTGCTTTTAAGCCTACTTTGGCATTTGCATCACTCCATTGGCCTTCTTTTTGTTAGTGTCTTCATTATATAGCTTTTCAGTCTTTTACAACTTTTCAAAGTTTTTTATTTTTGATTGTCCTTGTCTTTAAGGTGTGTCCTTAGAAGCGACACATAGTTGGTTTGGCTTTTTATACAAGTTGATAATTTTTATCTGTTAATTGGAGCATTTGATTTGTCTATACTTAATGTAATTACATATATTTGGATTTACTTATCTTAGTTTTTTCTATTTGTCACATTAGTTCTTTTGTATTACAAAGAAATATATTTTTAAGAATCAGTTATGCCATTAAGTTATTCTGTTTTTATTATTCATCTTTAAACCTCATTTCTAAATGTTTTATCATTCAATTACAAACAGTGTTACAATGAGTATCTTGTAAAAACTTGCAAATTTTTTTTCTGGAGAATAATCTTAGTGAAATTGAAGTTTCTTGAAAAAAATATTTCTGGGATTTGGACTGAACTTGTGTTGAATTTATAGATTATTTTGAAAGCATTGGCATTTAAAAGATACTGAACTCCATCATCTATGGGGGTTTTATGTACTTCTCTAATATTTTTACAATTTTCTCCATAATCTTGCATGTTCTTTATTCATCTAATTCTCAGATACTTTGAATATTTTGGTAGGATTATCAATGTGTTATTTTCTTATATATCATTTTTTTCTAATTGCAATTTTTCATTAAGTTTATTTTTGTATTTTTGTCTTACTCGATCTTGTGTCCAGTAATCTAATGAACTCTGGTAAATGTGTCTACCATCTCACTTCCTTGATAGACTAAGGCAAAACAGAAATAACCTGATAGCTGCCTTTTATATTACTATAGTTATACATGTAATTATATGTTTTGATTTGTTATACTTAAAACATATGAATTTTTCATGATAACTCAAATATATATAGATATTTTATAGACATGCTGGCTGTACAACATGTCATTATTTGATTAGAGTATAATTTACCCAGTTTTGGCATTTATGTTCTATGTTCTCCCCCCACCACCTTTCTTTGTTATTCTAAACATCAATTGGATGAGAATGTTTTGCATATAGCTTTTTCATATTTTGGTTTATATTTTTAGGATAGATTTCCAGAAGTATAATATCTGAGTTAAAAGATGATATGGTTTGGCTCTGTGTCCCCACCCAAATATCACATTGAATTATAATCCCCCGTATTGGGTGAGGGGCCTGTTGGGAGGTGATTGAATCATGGGGGCGGATTTCCCCTTTGCTATTCTCATTACAGTGAGTTCTCACAAGATCTCATGGCTTAAAAGTGTATGGCACTTCTCCCTTCCCTCTTCTCTCTCTCTCACCACCATGTGAGGAAGGTGCTTACTTCCCCTTCGCTCTCCACTATGATTGTAAGTTTCCTGAGCCCTTCCAGTCATGCTTCCTGTTATGCCTGTGGAACTGTGAGTCAATTAAAACTCTTTTGTTCATAAATTACCCAGTGTCAGGTAGTTCTTTGTAGCAGTGTAAGAATGGACTAATACACAAGATATGAATTTTTTTTGTGGCTCTTGATTTCCAAATTGTCTTCCAAATGAACAAAATCTTAAAATTTTAAGACTGAAATCTCCCTCAGCTGGTGTTCTGGTGACGGGTGTCATCATTCTTTCCTGGCCCTTAAGTCTTTAGGCTTTATTTATGCTGGGTTATTCTCTGCCTTCTGCTTAAGCTTTTCGTCTTCTCATTGAACTTTATTATTCTCCAGACCAAATATGAGGCTCTGAATGGTGATCAGCTTAATGACACATGAAATATATAAAATTTCGAGTCATATAGACATGACTTCAAATTTCAGCTCCATCACTTACCTGCACTGTGTGCTTGGGCATGTTCCTTAACCTCTCTGATCCTCAGTTTTCTCATCTGTGAAGGAAGGGTAATAATTTCTACTTCAAAATTATTGCTGTGAGTTATTGGGGTCAATGTATGTGAAGGCTTAAAAGTGTCTATTGTTTTTCTTAAAAGTGTCTAGTGTTTTTCTAATGACAGCAAAAGTTTAAAATCTGAGGGAGATGTTCTGTTTTCTTTCTTCTGTGACTTACTGTGGTTGCTATTGGTTTAGTCTGCTATGCACATTCCAGATAAAGTAAACATATATATGCCATTATTGAAAAAGCACTTCGGCAAAGGCCTGGCCCTTTTCTGTGGGATCTGAGCAAAATATTTTGCTGGATACACATTATTGGTGCATGATGCAAGTTGCCAAATGCATATTTCTCTTGGGATAAAAATCCTAATCACATATTTTCTCAGAGTTATTGGCCCAGCATCCTTTTAGTGCAAATATAACGTCTAAGTAACATGAAGTAGTTGCTCTTATTAAGAGTTCTTTGCTCAGATGTGGCTTCTTCCTCAGGCCTGTCTTTTCTCAGTCCATAAAAAAGTTAACATGAAATATTACTTGGAAAATATAATGCTGTAATTATCTCCTCCTCCAGAGCCAAATCTGTCATCCTGGACATAAACCGCACAAAATATTCTAGTCCTGAATGTGGAAATTCCACTCTTGGAAGAATTTAGTGTGAATGGTACATCAGGGAAACTGTTTTGTGCCATGTGAAACCAACCTCACAAATCTACTGATATTGGCAGGTTACTCAGAAATCATAGAAAATAACAGAGGACTGTGTAATGTTGTATGAGATCACAGGGGAGGGCCACTACATTAGGTTGGTCGGAGTTGGTGTTAGTCATGGAAGGTTTGCTTGTAGAGTCATTGGTGGGTCATCATGATAAAGCCAGATATTGAGAATAAATTTCTGACCCTGTATCAGTATGTCAGCCAGTCCACCAACCAAGCCAAAAGATCAAACGTTACTACACAAAACATTTTTCAAGTTAGATGTTTCCAGCAGTGCAGGCTTCCATGTCTTTTCTGGCCATGGTCAATATGTGACAGAAGCTCAGGTGTCTGTGCATACTCGGAACAAAGGAAAAATTACCAGAGAGAAGAAAACCCTTCCTAAGTAGAGGTTTTCTACTACTGCTCAGTGTAGCTATCTTTGTTGGCTTTGTGGCCTTTCTAGCTTGGGACATCCCTTCCTCATGGCCTGTGATAACTACCTGTTCTGTCTGACTTTGCTGACCTGAACTTGATCCCTCTGATTATTACGCAATGCCTGTCCTGGCTCCATAGCCTCTCCTTTTCTGTCACCACTCCTATCTAGGTCTGACATGTGTTCTTCTGTACTTTTAACCCATATTTCACAAAGAAACCATTCCAGTACCTCTCATGGTTGTGTATTTATGTGTGCATCTATATGAAATAAAGGATTTGGCAGTAAAAGTAACACAGCCTACCCTCACTTGTGGACCCAGTGGCAGTGAAGCCATGACCCTTTTCAGTGTGATTTTTCCTGTCATTAAAGTTCTGCAAAAAGTGCCTTTGAACTTCGAAGGATAAGTTATTTCTCCTTTATTCTTCTAAGTGTACTGACCCTTCAATTAGTTCAAGGATCCTGAGTTTCCACTTTTATGGTATAAGTTTAATACAAAACCCAATTTTGTTTACACTGTCAACCTTTTACCAGTATTTCTTTTTTGTGGTCTCTTCCAAGGCCTAATCAGTAAGATCTATGGCTAAGGTACAGCCTAAGAGCCCCTTGAGTAATCCAAGAGTTGTTGCTAATTACATCTATTAATTCTCCAGCAGAGAATGCCACAGCATTGATACAGAGCTGTAGACTTCTGAGATTAACCAGACAAAATTTTTACTCGACAAATATTCTTTTTCAAATCTATAAGTATCACTGATTTGGGTAGGTAGAAGTGAGTTGTTGAGCAGTAAGAACAAAAATGATAACTCAGTTAGCTACTGTGACTAAGATTGTGTCTTTTATTTCCAAAGTAGTCTATAACATTAGGAAATAGCAAGTGCGTAAATAGACCTAATGTATTTTTCCAGTGAGAGATTTGCTGAGACTTTCTGCCCAAGAAATTCTCAGCAATTATGAATCTGGCTGTATCAATAACATCTACTATGTGCCTGACAATGGGCCAAGTTGAGGGCAGAGCAGTAAACAAGACCATAATAATCTCAGAATTCATGATGTTTCCAGTGTATGGGGGATAGAGACATCACACAAAGAATTCTACATTTAATTATAATTTTGATAAGATTTTAAAAGAGCATAGGAAACTTTGAAAGCATGAAACAAATTCCTCTGTCTCATTGGGGAAAAGAAAATTACTCAATGACTGAAGGATATTACAAGTTAGTTTGGTGATATTGCATGTTCTCACTTATTTGTGGGATCTAAAAATCAAAACAGTTCAACTCATACACGTAGAGAATAGATGGATGGTTACCAGAGGCTGGGAAGGGAAGTGAGGGACCCAGGGGGAGGTGGGGATGGTTAATGGGTACAAAAAGTAGTTAGAAAGAATGAATAAGACCTAGTATTTGATAGCACAACAGGGTGACTATAGTCAATAATAACTGTATATTTTAAAATAAATAGTGTAATTGGATTTTTGTAACTCAAAGGATAAATTCTTGAGGGAATGGATACCCCATTCCCCATGATGTGATTATTTCCCATTGCATGCCTGAATCAAAATATCTCAGGTACCCCATAAATATACATACCTACTATGTATCCACAAAAGTAAAAAAATTAAATTTTTTAAAAAAGTTAGTTTTGTTGAAAAAGGCAAGAATGTTTCAGGCCAAAACAGCATGAGGGAAGGACAAAGGGTAGAAATACGCTTGGAATATTGAAGAAGCTGAAAGACAACAGTATGTGTATGATGGGGTAAGGGAAAGACGGTGACACAAGATGATTTGGGAGGATTTTCAGGGTCAAGTCATGTCTGTGTCATTAGACGTATCACTATGAACATTAGTAATAGCCAACGGAGACTTTCTGGAACTGGTTGTGCTGGGGGAAGGGGTATGTTTGGTGTAGCCATGGAAACTATTATTTGAAGTAAGCATGTGCTTTGCTTCACTAAACATAGAAAATAACAGATTTCAATTCTGCATTATTTTCCAAGACATGCTGTTTGTTAGTGTTGTTAACTTTTAAGGTTACTTTTTGCTGAGGGTGAGATAGGGACTCCCTTGGGTAGACAAACTAGGAGTTGATGCCTTTGGTCGATACAGCCTTGGCCTGACACTAGCTTCTAGTAAGAAAGTGACCTGACAGATTCCTAACATGCTTCCTGGCATGGCTAAGTATTCACCTTAAACAGCCAGGGATGAGATGTCATTTCAAAATAGGCCTTTTGGGTAGTCATTTATTCTGAAACCCACACCATACCATTTCTATTGGTTTTCAGACACAGAAATGTTTGTTTCAACACAACAGGTTAGGCTCTGATCCTTATTTTAAGAATTTACATTTTTAAAAAATAGAACATGGATTAAAACCTTGCACTGGAGAAGAGACACTGACCTTAGCTTCATTTATTTGTTCAAGCCAAACAATTATGTCAAGAGAGACCATTGAACCAATTGGAAAACACTAAAATGTTGGGCCTAGCAATATGGTTAACTCCTACTTGGATTTGAAGGAGTGCTTCTAAAACCCCTCAAAATAGATAAAGGAAACTGCTTGCTCTGCCTTTGACGTGTTCTAGCCCTTTGGATGTTCTAACTCTCAGCACCTCTCAGGTTGCTAGAAAAAGATCTCAAAATGGAGAAAGGTAAAACCAAGTACTCAGGTCCTATGTAAGACAGAAGTGTGCTGGGGATGTACTTCTGTGTCTTTTTGCTTTTCCATTCCTATCCAGCAGTCATTGGAGTCAGCATCATTTTAATGGTTTTTGTTTTTTGTTGTCATTTGCTTTTGCCTACTGTTGGATATATTACAAATCTCATAGCGCTCGCAGAATAGTGCTTTCTAAAATTCCATTTACTTTTATATTTGCTCACATAGCCATTTTAATATGTACTTCCCTGTAAAAAGAAGGGGAGGGAAGGGCAGATAATTTTTAAAGTAGTACCCAGGAAGAGGCAAGATGGGATATGAGCTGGTATATGAGTACAAGGATCTGCTCTGGTGAGGTTGGAGGGGCCAAATGATAGGGCATTTGTTTCAAAAGCAAATAATTGGAGGCCAGTAGTGAGATACAGGAGAAAAAGGCGAATAAGCTCTGTTTTCTCAGTGAAATGTATGATCAGATCATCTAAGTGTGAGGTAAGTTTTAGGAATCATCAGGAATCTTGGAGAAAGCAAACATTTGCAAGATATTTTGGTTAACAGTTATGATATGTTTGTTTTTGAGATAAATAAAATGCAGTATGTGACTATTCTATTTTGCTAGAGGATGTTAGCTGACCTAAATTGCAATTTAGATACTTTCTTTGCTTGATTATATTCTGGTGAAAGAGCTCTTCATTATTAAAGAAAAATGTATGAGTGAACTGGAATTTTGCGTTGAATCTCCCTTTCTTATTATACATTATAACCTCTTAATACATTTTATGAGATTGATCTCCAGTTGACTGTAACTCCTAACATACTAGATTTAATTTCTGTTTTCATGACCCCATTCAGCATTTCTATCAAATATTTATCTGTAAAGTAGATTACGATAATTTTTTATGTGTTTGGTGGCATAGTTGTTCTACACATTCAGCTGTTGCATATTCTGTTTTATTAAGTGGGCAGATCTTAGAGCTTGGTCTCCAAAGATGACTGGCTGATTAATGAAACTAATATGATGGGTCCCATTGTGAAACTCACATTGAAAATTTAGAAATAATACCAAGATATGTTTGAAGAGAAAATAGAAGAACATTTTTGTCAGCCTCTGTAAATAATTGTCCCTCTGAATCTAGGAAGTAGAAGCCAATGAAACCTATCCAGGATTTGTTGTTGCTGATGTTGTTGTTGTTGTTGTTATGCAAGGAACTTAACTATGGCTCCTCATCCTTCCCCACTGGGTCTGAAACATGGTTTTGTTAGAGAATAAGGATTTGTTTGTCTTACCAAATTAAAATGAAAATTTCAAGACTAAATGGATACAGAGTTAAATAATTTCCAATTATGGCTAGATTGCACATTCTCCAAATTCAGAAGGAAGGCACAGGGCCCTGCTGGTACACTAGGCACAGATAGGCCCTCACATACACTTAGCTTCCACCTTTCCCTCTCTCAACTCATCTGGGGAATATGTTTTCTCAACCAAGATATTGAGACACTAAATGACTGAGAGTTAACTGAATTAGATGTTCATTCCAAAGTAGATTACTTTAGCTCTTTGGACATTTAAGTTTGTTGTGTAATATTTACAGATCATTTCCTATTAACTGTAATAATTTACCAATCAGTTACCATTAACTATAGCAAACATGTCTCCTTTTTGGGGAGTCACAATAAAATTTAATTCTAGAAAACTGATGGAAACAGTTCTAAATGATAAAGATGCTGTACATTCCAATAACGATTTATTTGTGTATTTTGGTGCAGGAATATTCTTGGAGTAAGGCAAGGGCACACATTTCTGAACTGGATATGAATTGTTTGCTGTAAATTATGGCACAAAATAGACACTGAAAGAACCAGATGTTCAGTTCGTTTTCATTTTGGGCATTCTAAAAATAAACTTTTAGGAAAAGCTATTGTTAAGAACAGTGTGAAAAACTTGCACTTTCATCATTGAATTTATTTTTCAATTTTGTCAGTTATATTCTGAAATTACAAATATTCTATATAAGCCATTTATATATATTTTGTTTTTTAAGACACGTATTTGTTCTAATAATTGTCTATTTCTGGCTAATTCCTTTATGGTTGTGTCATGCTATATGTGATCTATGCAGATGGCTAAAAGGTTTTGCATTCATTTTTGTTCAATTTATTTATTTTACTTTTTATTTTTAATTGGCACATTTAATTGTACATATTTATGGGATTCAATGTGATGCTTTAATACATATACGTTATATAATGATCAAATCACTGTAGTTAGCATCACCTGATGCATTTATCATTTCAAAAGCCTCTCTTCTATTTTGTAATATGCAATACCTTACTGTTAACCATAGTCGCTGTACTATGCAATAAAACACTGGAATTTATTACTACTATCCAGTTGTAAATTTGTACCCATTGACCAACCTGTCCGCATCTTTCTCTTCTCCCTCCCTCTCCTGTCTCTGGTGCACACTGTTCTATTTTCTACTTCTATGATATCAATTTGTTTTTTCTTTTAGGATTCTAAGTATGAATGAGATCATAGGATATTTTTCTTTCTTTGTCTTGCTTATTTCACTTAACATGATATACTCCAGGTCCATCTATGTCATCACAAATGACAGGATTCTACTCTTTTTATGGGTGAATCATACTTCATTCTGTATATGTACCACATTTTCTGTATTCATCTGTTGTTGGACACTTAGTTTGCTTCCATATCTTCACTATTGAAAATAGAGTTGCAGAAACATGGGGGTGCAGATATCTTTTCAACGTACTGATTTCATTTCCTTCAGATATATACCCAAGAGTAGAATTATTAGATCATAGGGTAGTTCTATTTTAATTTTTTCAGGAAATTTCATACTGTTTTTCATAATGGCCATGCTACTTTACAATCCCACAAACAGTGTGCAAGTGTTTCCTTTTCTCCACATCCTTACCAAGACTTGTTTTGTCCTTTTGATAATAGCCATTCTAACTAGAGTCAAGAGGTGTCTCACTGTGATTTTGATTTGCAGTTCTCTAATGTTTAGTGATGTTGAGCATTTTTTCATATGCCTGTTTGCCATTTGTGTTTCCTCTATTGAGAAATGTTTATTCAGGTCTTTTGCCCATTTCTTCAATCAATTTTTAAAATTGTTTTTCTGCTAAGTACTCTGTGTGTTCTGAGTAATAACCTTTGCCAGGTGTATAGTTTGCAGGTTGTCTTTTTACTCTGTTGTTTCTTTTGTTGTGCAAAAGCTTTTAAATTTGATGTAATTGCACTTGTCTATTTTTGTTTTTGTTACCTGTGCTTTTGAGGTCTCATTTAAAAAAATCCTTGCTCAGCCCAGTGTTGTGAAGCATTTCCTTTGTTTTCTTCTAGTAGTTTCATAGCTTGAGGTCTTAGATTTAAGTCTTTGATCCACTTTGAATTAATTTTTGTATAAGGTGAAAGTTAGGAGTCTAGTTTCTTTTTTTTTTTCTTGTGGATATCCAATTTTCCCACCACTGTTTATTTAAGAGAGTGACTTTTTCCCAATTTTGAACCCATCAGAAGGAAAATAGACTGTACTTGAGAATCACTGCTATATGAGAAATCATTTATCCTTTTTAAAAAGATGATATGGAGAATATAGCTAGTAGCATGCTAAGTCAATGCTGTATCAAGGGTCATACAAAAGATGCTCCACGGTGCCACAGAAATGCATTGACAAGATTAAGAAAACCGAACAAATAAAAAACCTAGGATGCTGTGTATTCTCAAAACATCTTCACATTATGGGTACTTCCTATAAAACTAGGACTTGTGGTCTGCAGAATTAGTTGGCCAGCCTTGAAATTAACCAAGTTATCTAACTTTCTCATCTTACTTGGGCATGTGGGTGTTGAGCTAAGAAGATTTTGTATTAGCTTCAGAGGTGATAGGGCTTGAATCTATAAACACAATTTTTTTATGTCCTTGTTCTTTGTTTATTTATAGCATCATTTCTAGGCAATGAGATCCATCTAGGTCTCATAGTTCAGTGGTTCACAAACCATAATACTACCCCTAGATGGTTTGTCATTCATCAAAGAGCACATAGAAAACCCAGCTCCTCTCTGCTTTTTCTTGATGTCTGTTAGATTAGCTGTTAGACCTTGAAATTGTTACTTTTAATTGATAGCATTTTTTTTTACCAATTACCACCAGCTAGGCATTATTTTTTTAAGTACATTGTGTTTTATCTCATTTCACCACAACCATATGAGGGAGATGCTATAATTACAGTCTCTTGACAGATAGAAACTGAGGCTAAGGAAGACAAAGGCATTTGCAGAAAATGACATAGTCGAAAATAATTGGATCCAGGATTTTAGACTTAGTCTGACCCCATTGCCCTAGACCTTACCAAGCATGTTTTATTGCCTCTCATTCTAGTAAAATGTAGTGTTTCTCCACCTTAAGTTATTCATGGACCCCTTTTAAAAGAAAAAAAACCTAAACTCCCAAGGTGGGCTTAAATTATTTTCAGACTATGATAAAACATGTACAAACATAAAACTAGAACTCTAACTTGCAGTATTTTTAGTTATAAAGCTGAATACAAAGTAAATTTTTAAAACAACTTTAAAACCAGTAAAATTCAAATGAACAACATTAGCTTAATGCTAGAGAACATTGTTTGAGGCAATGTTGTCAATGCTGTGGGTAATAGCAGAATAATACATTTTTCTATATTATGTTTTATTTGTGATCGAGGGTACCTTTTAATACCTTGAGTATGATACATCATTCTCACTATTATTGGTATTTTTCTTCTAAATTATTAAACTTATCATTAGCCATTGATGCACTATTTTGAAATGGCAATCAATTACAGAGTTCCTCCCAAAAAGTACCCTTTGCAGAATATTTTCCATTCATTATATCTGTACCACTATATTTTCTGACAATGAACTGTGACAGTTGTAGGAACAAAGATGAGACCCATGTGTTATGTCCCTTTAGTAATATAAGTATTATATTGAATGTTAGAGGTGAGTTTCTTTTGAGTTCTGCATGCCATTGCTTGCTTGATGAGAACTCAATTTCCTGGTCATTTATTTTTCTTTCAGAACTGCCATGACCTGTCTTTAGTATGGCTTGCTGTGGGGTCACTATCCTTTACTTGTGCCACATTGATTGTCAAAATGAACCTTTGACAGTAGTTCTGTTGTTGGAATTTTACTGGTTCCCTGATAACTTCCAAGCAACTTATTACAGGTCAGCTTAGGATCCAGTACTGCTGCACGGTTTGTTCCTCCATGAGAAAAAAAATGTTTGTTTGATTAATTGTTGCAAAGGGCTTATGGTCTCTCATTTGACAGTGATACTGAATAGTCAGAAATTTTCTACAGATATATTACTGTACCCCTAGGTACAACAGAATTATTTTTGTGAATTGAAAGTTAATATCAGCTTTACTTAGAGGTGGAATGAACAGACTCCTTTATTTTCAGTTTTGAAGAATATTAGAATTATTTCTACCCCCAAATAGCTCTCCTTCCCATTGCCCTACAGGATCAGAAAATTCTCTGTTAAATCCACATTCTCAAGCCTGGTGTATTGTATTTTCAATGTAAATGCCTATGGGAGAAGACAAGGTATTTAGCCATAGTATCATAGTACAAAGGATTTTATGTTACTATCTGCCTCTGTTGGTGGAATCACAGAAAATTAGAAAACATTAGTTTTCTAGGTAAGGAAGACTAGGAGCAAAAAAAAAAAAAAAAAAAAACTCTGAAAATGTTTAAAATTTGCTAGGAACCAGACCATGTTACATTCACATGTGATCTTTGGTAGTCTTTGTCATATTACAATTCTAGTTAATACCAGTAGCACTGTCAAATGGGAAGAAATGAAGAGCTCTAGTTTGAATCAGGTTATATGACTGTCCAACATTTTCATAGGTGCCTCCTGGAAATCATGACCACAGTTAGTCTTTAGGCTCTTATATTACAGTCCTGTTTGTTAAAAAGAAAAGAAGCAGTCTGCTCTCTGTTCCTTGGTGCTTCCACCCGGCACTCAGAACACTACAGGGGCTCACTCTGGAAGTATCAGCACCTGCTCCCCTGGGTTTCAGAGAGTGTAAAGTTGGAGATATCAAGAACTGCTAGCCTCCTTCCATGAACTCAGCAATTCTTTATCAGAGCAGTAAGTTTTGTCCCAGGGGACCTATCCAGTGTTCTAGGGCTGGGTCCTGGGTGCCCCTAAAGCCTCCAAGTCACAGTGTTTCCTACATCTCCTGCTTGTTCTTATTACTGTCTTCACTATCATTTCAATCCTAATTCCTACATGAGTGAAATTATATTAAAACAGAAAAAAATATGGAGACGAATTCATCCTGATGGTGGCATCCTAAATGCACTGACCGTTCATTCCTGCCTGACAGTTCCATGGAGTTGATCTGGTTTCTGTCCTTTGTAGGAGCTTTTCTTCATTTCTGCAAACTATTCTGTAACCTCTGAGTAAACTCCCTTTTTGATCAAGATGGTCTCTTGCCTGGAGTCCGGGTAGCTTCTCTGGTTTGTGACAGCCCTTCTCCCTAGGGGCTGGATTCAGCTTCTTTCCATTTCCCGCTTTTCCCAACAACACAGCTATTCATCTGACTTTGTACTTTTTATATGAACTTCACACATATTCTTTTTTGCCAAGTGGAAAGCCTCCCTCCCCATCCCCTGCATTGTTCTTTCCTACCTGAACCACAGCTAAGCATATCTGCTAGACCCCATAACTGGAATGCACAGGGCTTGTCTGCACGTGCTCTCTGCCTCTGAGGTGATAAATCCATATTTACTCTGCCCCTTGTCCTTTGGCCCTTCCTGCCTCCCAGTCTCTCATCCTTTTATCACCAAGTCTCACCTATCTCACATGAGAGAGAGAGATGGGGAAAATATGGTATCTTCACAAAACTGATGGGAGGGTAAAATGGAGAGACTGATAGAACCTTAGATTAGGCCAAGTTACACCACATAAAAGGAATGAAAAGGGAGAGAAAAAGGAGACAAGAAAACCAAGGGCAGGAGAGAGAGGGAGAGAAAGAGTACAAGAAGTGAAGTGGGACACTGGGAGAGAGGTGTATGTCTAAGAAGTTTTTACAGACTGGCTTCGTGACTTGCCCTGTATTGCCTTCTCAAGAAGCTTTCAATAAAGAAGTCCTTGCTTTTCAGGGTTTGAGGAGTGAGATATATTTTTCTTTTGAAGGTTTTTCTCTACTACGATGAACCTTAAGATGGGAGCAGGTAAGACTAGTTTAATTTGGGATGCATTTCTTACTGTGCATTCTTCTTTCCACTAAGATAAAAGTGGTTAGGAGGAAAAATCCCTGGGAAAGGTTGGAGTAGGGAGAATTCTCTTGTTACTCTGTTACTCTGTGCAGGACATGGCATGCTACTGAAAGTTATAAGCAGGCTTCTACCTTATCATAACTTTTATTTGGTCTTAGAAATATTTTATTTTTATTTATATGCATACAAGCAGGACCAGCCACCAGTATAGGCCTAACACTGTGCCTTCAGTGCTCTGGGCTTCAGCCTGTCTGTCTTCAGGTCTCCTGGGGAGCTCCAAGGACACCAATACACCAAAGGAGACATGGCAGCGCTCATCAACATTGAATTTCACTGTGAAAGTGTGTCAGGTTGTTATTCTTCATGGATCTCTGAGAATCAGGCATCATGGATGAGGGCTCAGAGATGAGAATTTTTGGAATCTGGAGCATGTAGTGGCAGTGTGAGGTCCCTGAGCATCTGGAGGTAAGGGAACATGGTGGTAGGAAGGCTCAGAGGCCCCCCTCAAAGAATCAGAATCAGTCCTGTGAAAGTTTTTTTTTTTTTTTTTAATCATTATCCTTGCATAAGGATAATGGGCCACAAAAGGGTTACATTTCTTTTATAATAAAAGACTACAAAGGGCGACCAGTGTTTTATTGATGGTTTTCAGAAACATCCATCTTACAGTGATTAGATCGTGAAATGATTAGACTGGTGCTAAACTTAGAAGCGGAAAAAGGAAACATATTCTTTAAAATTTTTAAGGTTCAGAAAAGCTTCCTGAGAAGCCCATTTTCCATTTTAGTGAGAAAAGGAGAAGAATACCAGTTTAAAAATTCATAAAGACTGCATTATGCTCAGTGGAAACATTCTTATAAAAAAGAGAACAGGTTTGTACTTAAAGATACAGTCACGAACATTTTATAGAGCCCTTCCAAGAAATAAGCCCAAGCATCTCCCCAAATGGAAAGTCTTTGAAGAAGCAGAAAACGTGATTACTTTTATGATATGTATGAGAATACCAGGTACCGTTAGGACTTCTGTGATCAAAAGCGGGGATTTTTAGATAAAAGGATATGTTTTGTCATTTACTCGTATTGATGGTATTTGAGAGCCTTCTACAGATATGAGGAATGATTCGGTCCATATGGGCAGTGGTCTTGTGAGCAGTCAAATCAGAATTTCCTAGCCTCTACTTCTGAAGAGTCATACAGAAATGGATTGGAATGCATTTTGGTTGTACATGATAACATTTGAGCAAATAGCTACATGTATGGCTACCACAATTTGTGTGTCACTAACCAGAATTCAAACTGGGGTAACAATGCTCAATTTTAACAAGACCAAGGCTGGTAGGACTAAGGGGTCAACTTTCGTGATTCCATGTCTGTCTTTGGAAAACCATCATAGTGCTTTCTGATAATCACTCCTCACCCAAATTTATGCCTATGTCAGTAGAGAAGACTTTTTGAAACCATGACAATGGCTCAAGATTCTGTCTCACAGATTTTGCTTGAGTCATTATACATCACAGCATGGTCTTGGATTTTTAATGTAAGTAAATTACCAAATCCAACAGCTGGACATATCCTTAGGAATAATTTGTAATATTGCCGTCTTTGTGAGGATGAGAGATTTGAGAGCCAGGGAGGGAAAATGACATGTCCAAAGTCACATAATAGTAAGTGATAAATTGGTAACTTGGGGTAGGTATTTATAGACTTCTTTGCCATTTCATTCTATATAAATCTTAAACTATTTAATGTCACTTTCTACCTGTAATTGATTTATAAAAAGAAGATTATTTGTTATTAATTTAAAGAAGGATACAGGATTGGATTTTAAGGCTGTTCTGAAATGGTATTTTTGACTGATTATACTATCATCTATCAAGCAAGAAGAGCTATCGAGTAGCTAATGATTTTGTCTTTGAAGAACTTTATCCCTCGGAATATTACCAGCAACGTAATGATTTTGTGATTCTATGTTCAGAAGTAGCACCTGTCCCAGTTTTGCAATGTGCATCTTAAGGGAACTTTTAAGAAAGTAATTTGGAAGAGAGTTCCTTTTTATAGATAGCATTTTAAAATCATAAAGCATCATGAGCACTATTCTCCTATCATTTGTCCTAAGTCAAATATGCTTATGGATAAAGTAATTACATTATCTTTAGAATACATTCAGATTTTTCTCTTAAGAGCATAAGCTCATATCTATATTAAGGATATTTGTTCTTTGTAAAAAGTTTACCAATGTTGAGATGTGGCTATAAACTAGAAATATCTTTTCACTCCTAGCTTTCACTTCCTCTGAGATAACAATCCCACCTAATGCTGATGCCGACTAAGGCCACCTCTGTGCTTTTACACAAATGGCATTCCCTCTCATAGGGTTTCATTTAGAGAGGTTTTTGTGAGGTTTTCTATAGTAAAATCTCGAATTATTTCCTTTGTATAGTATATATACTTTATTGATTTATTCATCATACTTCTATTAAGAGCCTAGTGTGAGAGAGAATGAATTCTGTGCTAAGCATCGGGATATGTTAGGAAACAAAGACAAGTAAGGTTACCACTGCCAGAGAGCTTATATTCTATTAAGATTCATGAGAAATAAGCAAATTAATAAACAAAATAATTTTAGATGCTTGTAAGACATAAAAGAAAATAATACAGAACAGTGTCTCTGAGGAGATAACATTCACACTGAGACATGAATGAAAAGCAGGAGATGACAGAACAAATCTGGGACAAGAGACTTTGGGGTAGAGGGGGCTGCAAGTACAGAGCCCCATTGAGTGCTAAGTACTTCCTAAGTTCTTGTTTCAAAAGAGCTCCTGAGCACAGGGGAATGCAGCATGAGATGAAGCCACAGAAGCAAGGAGCAGCCAGGTCTTGCTGGGTTTGTAGGTCATGGTAAGGCTTTTAAAATTTATTCTAATGCACTGAAAATCTGTCAGGAAGGTTCAGGGAAGTGGGCCATTGGCTTGTTAGAAAGTGAAGGCACATATTCTTCAGAGACACCTGGGTATTGGCTCTGCTTTCTCCCCTTAAGTGTGAGTTTTACGTTGCTAATACAGTTTGGTTCAAAAACTAGGCAAGCTTGATATCTGTCTATATGACCTTAAATAGAAACCTGTGGACAGGCCATGAGGTAGACTGAAAAAGAACACCCTAAAAATGTCAGGTCCTACTCCATGGAATCTGTAAATGTTACCTTATTTGGAAAAGGATTTTGCAGATGTGATTAAGCTAAGAATATTAAAATGGGGAGATTTTCCTAGATTATCTGTATGAGGACTGAATGCTGTTGCAAATGTCCTTTTGAGTGAGAGGCAGAGGGAGACGGAGATTGAAAACGTACAGAGAAAAAGGCCATGTGAAGATGGAGCAGAGAGAGACTTGAAGATACTAGACTTGAAGATCAAATAATTATCAGAGATATAGGTTCAACTGAATAAACCAGGTCCTTGGGATTTGCTATAATAGTGTGAGGGACAATGAGCAAATAGCTCCCATCTCAGTGCTTTGGGTCCTTTTACGATCTCTACAGAAGGATTAACAGAAAGTTAGACTCTAAGCCCATTGTTAATTCCTAACCAAACAAGTATTTATTTAAACATGTACTAGCATTCCCTATGTACAGGAAATATAGGGATTTGGAGCAGACAAAATACTCAGGGAAACATAAGCTTACAGGTCTAAATAGCCAGATACCTGAGGAGTGCAACTGCTCAATACTGTGGTTAGTGAACTACAGCCTGCGGACAAAATCCAGCCCTTCATTGCTGCTATATGGCTCCTGAATAAGAGGAATTTTTACATTTTAAATGGTTGAAGGAAACAGAAGTATACTATTTTGTGACACATTAAAGTTATATGAAAATTCAAATTTTATGCCCACAAATAAAGATTTATTGGAACATACCCACACTTTCATTGACCTATCGTTCATGGCTGCTTTCGCACTACAATGGCAGAGTTGAATGATTGTGATTGAGACTGTCTGGTGCACAAAACCAAAAATACTATCTGACCCTTTACTGAAAATAAGTCTTCTGATCTTAGCTCTAAGGGAAAGACAATTAATTGAAAAACACATACAACCTGAAGCAGAATTATTGGAACATATAGAACACAAACTTAAAAATAACTGTAATAAACATGTTTAAGACACTGGGTAAGCTATAATAAATATGGATAAGAACAGTGAGTTATATTTTAAAACAATTGGAAATATTTGGTATGGGATACATGATAGCTGAAATAAAGAGCACAATACATGGATACATGGAATAATTATCAGGGTGGAGAGAGCTGAAAACTGAATCAATAAGTGGTGCTTACTACTATGTGGTTAACCAAGATAAATATTTGATCCTCTCCTTCTATGTACTAATGTTTAAAATAATGAGTTGATTTTTTTAGCATCATCTGAAAGTGACAAATTGGTTTATTTTAATGTTAATTTGAACTCATAGATTTAAACATATTTCACGGGTTTTAACCCATCACATTTATTATCCTTATTGAAATTCAAATTTACCTATATTTGACCAGTAGTAACTTTTTCAAGTTGGTTCCTGAGTCTTTTGACATGGCTCAAATTGTCTTTGAGAGCTTTGTGACTATCTGATATGGCAAGATGTTACAGGATCGTCTTGTTCATTTCCTGCCCTAGACCTGGAGTCAGCAATTCTCCAAGATGCTCTGGTTTTTTAGAAACTAGGATATCAATACTAATATGTGCACTACTAGAGATGTTCAATGCTACTGAGTTGGTCATTTTTTTCTAGGCTTTTCCAGTGGTCAGAACTACAGTGTATTTGTATCTGTGTCTACCTGTATAAAATAGCTCATGAAATCATGCTGATCCTTCTAACTCAAATTTTAGACTACAGGATTTTTATCTATTCTTTTCTATGTTACAGATGTATCTCTTAAAAATATTCCAGAAATGCTCAGTTGTTTTATTTCATATTACATACACAATAGTCTCAGAATAACAATACAAATGTTACAACAATCAATATGATTAATAAAAACATATGCATATGCTCTCCTTATTGACCCTCTGTTTTATATAGTTGTACTATATATACACTCTCTGAGAATATAACCATTACATATTATACTTTCAAATTTTTAAGACTATTTTTTAGAGCAGTTTTAGGCTCACAGTAAAATGAGAGGAAGGTAAAGATATTTCCCATTTATCCCCTAGTCCCACACATGCCTAGTCTCTCCTGATTATTAGTATGCCCCTCCAGAGTGATACAGTTGTTGCAATTGATGAACCTGTATTGACACATCATAATCATCCAAATTCCATAGTTTACTTTAGGGTTCACTCTTAGTGTTGTATATTCTATAAGTTTGAACAAATATGTAATAAAGTGTATCCATCATTAGAGTATCACACAGAGTATTTTCACTGCCCTAGAAAGTTATCTGTGCTTTGCCTATTCACCCCTTCCACAACCTGATCCCTTGACAATCACTGACCTTTTTACTGTCTCCATAGTTTTACCTTTTCTAGCATGTCGTATATTTGGTTTCCGTATTTTTTTTAACTTTTTTTTTAGGTTCAGGAGTACACGTGCAGGTTTGTTTTATAGGTAAACTTGTGTCACAGAGGTTGGTTGTACAGATTATTTCATCACCCGGGTACTAAGCCTAGTACCCAGTAGTTATTTTTTCTGATTTTCTCCATCCTCCCACCCTCCATCCTCATATAGGCCCCAGTGTCTGTTGTTTTCCTCTATGTGTCTGTGTGTTCTCATCATTTAGCTCCCACTTATAAGTGAGAACATGTAGTATTTGGTTTTCTGTTCCTGTGTTAGTTTGCTAAGGATAATGGACTCCAGCTCCATCCATGTTCCTGCAAATGACATGATCTCATTCTTTTTCATGGCTGCATTGTATTCCATGGTATATATATGTACCATATTTCCTTTATCTTGTCTACCATTGATGGGCATTTTGATTGATGCCATATCTTTGCTATTGTGAATATTGTTGCAATAAACATATGAATGCCTGTGTCTTTATGGTAGAATAATTTATATTCCTTTGGGTACATATCCACTAATGGATTGCCAAGTCAAATGATAGTTCTGTTTTCAGCTCTTTGAGGAATTGCCACACTGCTTTCTACAATGGTTGAACTAATTTACACTCGCAACAACAGTGTATAAGTATTTGTTTTTCTCCACAACCTCGCTAGAATCTGTTATATTTTGGAAGGTCATATATATATATATACATATATATATATATATATATATATACACATATATATATATATATATACATATATATATATATATATACATATATATATATACACACATATATATATACACATATATATATATACATATATATACACACACACACACACATATATGTCATATATATGTCATATATGTCATATATATGTCATATATATGACATATATGTCATATATATATGTCATATATATATGTCATATATGTCATATATATATGTCATATATATATGTCATATATATATATGTCATATATATATGTCATATATATATATGTCATATATATATGTCATATATATATGACGTTCCAAATATATATGGATATATTTGGAATATATATTTGGAATATATTTGGAATATATATATATTTGGATATATTTGGAATATATATATATTTAGATATATTTGGAATATATATATATTTGGATATATCCATATATATGGATATATTCCAAAAAATATATCCATATATATATGACATTCCAAAATATAACATATATTTTGTTATATATATATATTATTATATATGTATATTGTTATATATATATAACAATATATATATATAAGCATACAGTATGTAACCTTTTATTCTTGGCTTCTTTTATTTAGTAATATGTATTTAATGTTCCTCTATGTCTTCTCATGGCTTCATAACTCATTCCTTTTTAGTACTAAATAATCATTTGTTTTCTGAATATACTACACTTTATTAATTTACCTACTGAAGGACACCTTGGTTGCTTCCAAGTTTTGGCAAATATGATTAAAACTGCTATAAACATCTGTGTGCAGGTTTTTATGTGGATAGTAGAAGTTTTCATTTCCTTTGGGTAAATATCAATCGCTGGACTGTAGGGTAACAGTATATTTAGATTTTGTAACAAATTACCAAACTGCCTTCCAAAGTACCTATCCCATTTGCATTCACATCAGCAATAAATGAGAATTTCTGTTTCTTTAAATCTTTGCCAAAGTTTGATGTTATCAGTGTCCCAGATTTTAACTATTCTAATAGATATGCAGTAATATCTCATTGTTGCCTTAATCTGCAATTCCCTGATGACACATGACATGAAGAATCTTTTTCTATACTTATTTTCTACCTGTGCATCTTAGGTGAGGTATCTGTTAAGGACTATGGCTAATTTTTTAATTGAGTTATTTGTTGTTGATTTTTAAGAGTTCTTTGTATATTTTGGATAGCAATCTTTATCAGATGTGGTTTTTGCAAATATTTTATCCCAGACTATGGCTCGTCTTGTCATTCTCCTTACATTGTCTTTCACAAATAGAAGTTTTTAATTTTGATGAAGTCCAGTTTATCAATTATTTTTGTCATGGATCATGCCTTTGGTGTTATATCCAAATGGTCATCATCATACCCAAGATCATCTAGGTTTTCCCTTTTTTTTTTTTTTCATTTAACTTTTATTTTAAATGCAGGAGTACGTGTGCAGGTTTGTTATCTAGTTATGTTCCCCTCTACATGTCCATGTGTTCTCATTATTTACTTACCACTTATAAGTGAGAACATGCAGTATTTGGTTTTCTGTTCCTGTGTTAGTCTGCTGAAGGTAATGACTTTTTCATCCATGTTCCTACAAAGGACATGATCTCATTCTTTTTTATGGGTGCATAGTATTCCATGGTGTATACCGCATTTTCTTTATGCAGTCTACCTTTGATGGGCATTTAGGTTGATTCCATGTCTTGGCCAAGCTATTGTGAATAGTGCTGTGATGAACATAGGCATTAATGTGTCTTTATACTAGAATGATTTATATTCTTTTGAGTATATACCCAAAGGAATGCACATGTTGAACCAACCATGCATCCTGGGGATGAGGCCTACTTGATTCTGGTGGATTCGCTTTTTTTATGTACTGCTGGATTTGGTTTGAGGTATTTGGTTGAGGTTTGGTATTTGGTTGAGGATTTTTGTCATGATGTTTGTCAAGGATGTTGGTCTGAGGTTTTCTTTTTCTGTTGTGTTTCTGCCAGGTTTTGGTAAAATGCTGGTCTCATAGAATGATTTAGGGAGGATTCCCTTCTCCTCAATTTTTTGGAATCGTTTCAGTAGGAATAGTAGCAGCTCTTTTTTGTACATCTGGTAGAATTCAGCTGTGAATCTTCTTGGTCCTGGTTTTTGTTTTTTTTTATTTTGGTTGGTAGGCTATTTATTACTCATTTTTAGAGCTCATTATTGGTCTGTTCAGGGATTCAGTTTCTTCGTGGTTCACTCTTGGGTGTATGTGTCCAGGAATTTGTCCATTTCTTCTAGGTGTTTTAGTTTATGTGTATAGAGGTATTTGTAATATTATCTGATGGTTATTTGTATTTCTGTGGGGTCAGTGGTAATATCCTCCTTGTTTCTGATTGTGTTTATTTGGCTCTTCACTTTTTTCTTTTTTATTGTAGCTAGTGATCTATTTTTTTTTTTTTTTTTTTTCAAAAAGCCAGCTCCTGGATTCCTTGATCTTTTGAATGGTTTTACGTATCTCAGTATCCTTCAGTTCACCTCTGGTTTTGGTTATTTCTTGTCTTCTGCTAGCTTTGGGATTGTTTTGCTGTTGGTTCTCTAGTTCTTTTACTTGGGATGTTAGTTTCTTAAATTGCTGTCTTTCTAACCATTTAATGTGGCCATTTAGTGCTATAAGTTTCCCTCTTAACACTGCCTTAGCTGGGTCCCAGAGATTCTTGTATTTTGTATCTTTATTCTCATTTGTTTCAAATAACTTCTTGATTTCTACTTTAATTTCATTATTTAGTCAAAAGTCATTCAGGAGCAGGTTATTCAATTTCCATGTAATTTTACAGTTTTGAGTGAATTTCTTAGTCTTGATTTCTAATTTGATTGTCCTGTGGTCTGACAGATTGTTAGGATTTCAGTTTCTTTGCATTCGCTGAGGACATTTTTACTTGTAATTACATAATTGATTTTAGAGTGTGTGCCATGTGGCAATGAGAAGAATGTATATTCTGTTTTGGGGTGGAGAGTTCTGTAGATGTCTATGAGGTACATTTGATGCAGTGCTGGGTTTGGGTCCTGAATATCTTTGTTAGGTTTCTGTTTTGATGATCTAATATTGTCAGTGAGGTGTTAAAGTCTCCCAGTATTATTATGTAGGAGTCTGTCTTTATGAAGGTCTCTAAGAACTTGCTTTATGAATCTGAGTGCTCCTTTGTTGGTTGCATGTGCATCTGGGATAGTCAAATCTTCTAGTTGAATTGAATGTTTTACCATTGTGTAATGCCCTTCTTTGTATTTTTTATCTTTGTTGGTCTAAACCAACATAATTATATAATTCAGCTCACCTGTTCCCCCAGAGCCACTGAGGGCCAGGAACAAGTCTGGGTGTGCTATAGTCCTGTATAGGATTCCCAGCCTTCCCCCTCATACCTCCAGCTTCTGGGTCTTTCCTCTCTCCACTCTCAGTGCCTTCCCTCTGAAGATCTATTAGAAACATGTCAGTTGTCTCAGTCCCTCAGTAGGAGCTATTCCACCTGGCTCCTTCTTGTCAGCCATCTTGCCCTCCCCCATCAGTTTTCTCTTATGTTATCTTCTAGGAGTTTAATATTCTAGCACTTTACATTTAGATCTATAATCTATTATGAGTTAATTTGTGTAATAGATATAGGGTCTGCATCTAGATTTATTTTTTGAATGGTTGTCCCATTGTTCTGCCACCATTTGTTGAAAAGACAATATTTTCTCCAGTGTATTGTATTTGCTCTTTTCTCATAGATTAGTTGACCAAATTTACAGAGAGCCTATTTCTGGGCTTTCTATTTTATTCCATTGATCTACTTACTTATTGTTTCACCAATACCATGTTGTCTTGATTATTATAGTTTCATAGTAAGTCTTGACATTGAATAGTGTCAATCCTCCAACTTTTTTAAACTCAGTATTGTGTTGGCTCTTCTTGGTTTTGTGCCTCACCATATAAACTTCAGAATCAGTTTGTTGATGTCCACAAAGTAATTTGCTGGGATTTTGACTGAGAGTGCATGGAATCTATAGATCACGTTGGGAAGAACTGACATCTTGACAATATTGAATCTTCATATCCATGAACATGGACTATCGCTCCATTTATTTAGTTCATTTGATGTTGTTCATCAAAGTTTTGTAGTTTTCCTCATGTCAATTATGTACATATTTTATTAGATTTATACTATCATTTTTAACTTTCACTTAGAATTAGTAATACATTTAATGCTCATCACAAGTCTTTACGTTAGTGTGTTGCTAGATTGGCTGTCTGAAGCTCTTTCTCTGGTTGATTACTCAGGAATGGTTTGTGGGAATAAAATCATCTTCATGGCTATAATATTACCTGTGTTTATAATGTTGATAAAGAATTGCTATTGAAGTCTGATTGTAAACTATCATTTTTATTTTCCTATAAGTATCTTGCTTTTTTAGCCCAGTTAACAAAAGGATTTTTAAATTTTTTCTTTAGTTTTACCAAGATGAAATATTATTAATTATTTTGAGTCTGTTTTCTACTATATAGTACGCTCTTTTGAGTATGAAAATGTATGTTTGTGTGTGTGTGTGTTTGTGTGTGTGAATATACACATTCAAGAAGATTTTCTTGAATTACACTTTTTAGTATTCTGTTCCAGTGCATTGAGTTTTTTTTTTTCTTTAGGGATTCCTGTTACCCAGATATTGGATCTTATTTACCTATTTTTGATATTTTCACTTTCTCTCAAATTCCTTAATATCTCTATTTCTTTATTTTTGATTTTAAAAAAATTCTTCCTCTTTTACATATCTTAAACCTATCTATTGTCTTTATTTGTTCTTCTGTTCCTTCTAGTTTATACATTTCTAAAACGATTTTTGCTTATATGTAATATTTTTTCCGTATTCTGTCATCTCATTTCTAAATGTTACTAATTAAGATTCACACTCTGTTTCAAATCTTGATTCATTTTCTTAATTTTTTAAATCTCATTTAACGATAGTATGCCACAGTTTTATTTTTGCAAGTGTGTCTTTTGGATGTACTTTGGTTATAAGTATGCTATTGTGTTTGTTATGTCTTTTTTCTGTTTCCTATCCTGAAATTTATTTGGGGCTTCTCTTCATGTGTGTTTGTTTTTCCCCCTGTATCTTCTCTCACACAGTTGGTGATTTCATGGAAGTCTGTGTCTATTAGTAATTTGTTCCCAACCATTTGTATTTGGGGATTCCCGGGGATACACTGCTACTTATTTAGCTTGTTGTAAAAGTTGTTAATCAGTTTTATATTTTCATATTTATTTGAATTAAGTTTTTAACTGTAGTAGATTAAAAAGAGCAAAAAAATTTGAAAGAAATAAGTACAAACAAAAGCATAATTTTTTGAAAAGAAAGGAAAAATTAAATTGATCAATAAAAGTTAGATCTTTTTTTCGGAAAAATTAATAGTAAGGTAAATTTTACACAGGACTGATTTTTTTTTTAAATGACACACAACATTGGGAACAAAGACACAATTTGATGATCAACAATACAACATTTAATTTGAAATCCTAAGCAAGTGAGTGTTTTCTAGGTATATAGAAACCAGATCAAAAAGTAGAAAACTAAATAGATCAATGTGCAGAAAACAGTTAACATAGCAGGCCTGAAGCTTTTGTCTTTATAAGGACCTGCTTACAAACTGGTCCTTGGCACATGTCTGGGATCTTAGCACTTGACCCATTCCATGAACTGACATGAGACTTTCCCTACTGATCAGGGTGGTTCACTTTGCTTTAGGTTGTTTGTGGAATCACTTTGATTTATGCTGAACACTTGCTTTCCTTCATGGAATCTGAAATTTTGGGCAAGGGAAAGGTTGTCAATGTGACAAGACCCCAGTTAAAACTTTGGGTGTTGAGTCTCTAATGGGCTTCACTGGGCAGAAACATTGCACATTTGTTACTGCATTTTTCATTGCTGAGAAAGGAACGTGCTCAATTCCCATGAGTGCCTTCACAGGAAGAAGAGAGCATAAGGAAGTCTGCGTATGAATTTTTCCAGACTCCAACCATGCCATTTTCCCTGCTGATATCCTTTTGCTGTAATAAGCCGTAGCTCTGAAAACAACTACATGCTGAGTCCTACTAGTGAATCACTGAATATTGTACTACTTGTGAATCATACAACCCACAACCATAAAATAAGTGAAAAAGATGGTAAACTTTTTAACCCCCTGAAAATATACAGCTTCAGATAGTTTCAAGGACACATTTTGCCAAATCTTTAAAGTGTCAGACTTTTAAATTATCGTTGTCTTTTTTTTGTGATGATCATGATGATGGATTTCTGCCAGCATGTTTATATTACACTGTTTAGTCTATTTCACATAGGTTGTTAGGCATGGAAGATTCATAATTGTTATATCTTTTAATATTTTAAATCCAATCTCATTAATCAAAATATCTCTTTTTATAGAATATGTGAGATATGGTTTGGCTGTGTCCCCACCAGAATCTCATCTTGAATTCCCACGTGTAGTGGGAGGAACCCAGGGGCAGGTAATTGAAATCATGGGGGCAAGTCTTTCTCATGCTGTTCTTACAATAGTCAATAAGCGTCATGAGATCTAATGGCTTTATAAGGTGGAGTTCCCCTGCACAAGCTCTCTCTTTGCCTGCTGCCATCCACGTGAAATGTGACTTGCTCCTCCTTGCCTTTCACCATGATTGTTAGGCCTCCCCAGCCATGAGGAACTGTAAGTTTAATAAACTCTTTTCTATTATATTTCCCATTCTCAGGTATGTCTTTATCAGCAGCATGAAAACAGACTAATACAACGAGCTCTAGTGTTATATTTCCTAGATTTGTATTTTCACTCTTTAGATAGTGTTCAAATTACTTAATGGGAACCTCAGTTTCTTCATGTGTAAAGTACTAATATATTATAAAGTATTCTTATAATGTGCTTCATAAGGTTGATATAAGGATTAAATTAGATAATGTCTTATAAAGCAGTAATACATTCACAATTCATATGAATGTTAGATATAGCTACATAGTAGACATTTTAACCCATTAACATTTATTCTGGTTACTGATGTTTGGAAAATTTTCAATCGGTTAAGAATTACTATAAATTAATCAGCTAATTCACTCATTCATTAATTCATTCATATACTCATTTATTCACTTATTTATTCAAAAAATACTAAGGGCTAGTTACCCTGGACCGTGAGACTCTATAGAAAATAAGATAGACGTGATTGTACTCTCATGAAAAGTACATTCTATTGTTATTAAAGTACACATTAATAAACATATATTTTTAACAACATCTCGAATATTTTTCTTCTCCAAGTCAACACTTGAGCATTTTTAATGTCCCTCCACTTCCTCTTCTTCTTGTCCCCTTACCTACAGATCCCTCTTCATCTTTTCCCCTCACCTCCAGGTAATCACTTATGTTCATATACTTTGGAATTTTTGTTTTAGAGTGTGGTTATTCTTGTTTACAAATAAACTCTTTATACTATAATACTATCTTTTTTTAAACTAAGTTTAACCTTTTAAACTCATTGTATTTTTCTCTTCTACTAATTGTACTACTGACTAGACAATTACTAGAGTGCAAATTAACTGTGTTGACAAAATCTTTGTCATATATACAAAAGTCTTAGATCCTAGTCCTTGAGAAGATTCTGCTAGTAATTTTTCTTTTGCTTCTTTGTATATTTGAAAGTCTATTTTTCCTCACTACTGTATAATTCTTTATTGGTATGATATTTTAGGACAAAAACCATTATTCTTCAGAACTAGACATATACTTTCAGTATAACTTATGGGGATTCTGTTAATCTGTTTTGAAATTTCTTTTCAAAAGAGACATTTTTTTTAACTACACTAGAAGCTTTAGGGTTTTTCTTTAACCATTGGTAACCACTAATTTGTTTTCTATTTCTATTATTTTTTCATTTTAAGAAGGCTATATGAATTGAATCATATAGTATGTACATTTTTAAGATTACCTTTTTTTCCATTCACTCAGCATAATTCCCTTGAGAGCCATCCAAGTTGTTGCATATATCAATAATTTATTTGTTTTTAAGTAGTAGTCTATGGTATGGATATACCACCATTTGTTTAAGCATTCATCTATTAGACATCTGATGTCCCAGAGGGCCCAAGCTGAAGCTACAAACTCCCTCTCAAGGAAATGGTGCCTTGGGGGAACCATTGCATTTACCCTTCACAGTTACTGCTCCACCCTGCACCCCTATGCCAGAGCTGAAGTGGCACCCTGCATTCTGGGGAAATGGTATCTTGGCCGCCCAGAGCAGTCATGCCCCCCCAGTTCTTAAGCTAAAGTGGTGTCCTGTCTATTGGGAAAATACTACCTTTGCCACCCAAAGCAGTCATATGGCTTGTGTCCGAGCTAATATAACTACCTACCTCCTAGGGAATCAAGCAACCAAATATCCCAGGGCTGAGTTGACATGGTACCCCATGTCCTAGGGAAACAGATCATTGGCCAAGCTGAGACATCTAAACTACAAGCCAAACAACCTCTAATACTCTACTTTTCTGGAACTGGACTAGCCCCTACATTCTGAGCTGCTGAGACATCCCTCTTCCTAGGGAGTAGAATTATGATTTTGCTGCTCCCTGTCCACAGGGCCCAAACAACAGCTGCACCCTTCCACTCCAGGGTTCTTGCTTCTGCCATACCTGACCTCAAAGAGTCTGGGATAGTACTGAGTCCCATCATGACAGGGTCCAGGGTCCCTCATCCCCTGGGACCTGAATTGCCCCTGAGCCTAACTGGCTCTGGTTCCAAATTTGCAGCTGTACTTGGCTCCCTAAGCCCAAACCTCCAGAGTGCTCTTTCTTCCCCAGAGCCAGGCCAGTGCTTTACCCTGCTCCCCATGGTAAGAGTCATAGCTCTAACCTGGCCCTCTGGGTTTAAGCTACTACAAGGTGCCTTAGATAACCTGGCTCTGTGCGCAATCTGCATCCAACCCTCCTCAGAGAGTGAACCTACATTTCAAGACCCAGATGCTATAATACATTATTGAGACCTTGAGCCTAGGACTGTGGCTTCACAGCTGCTCTAGGCAACTGTACTCTGGAACCCAGCACTGTTGCAGCTGCTCGTAGGGCATGTCATACCCAACACGAGGAGGGATCCCCTCAGCTAAGTCTCCCCATTGTGAAGAAAACAAGAAAAAGAGGACCTTAAAAACCCTTGCTTCTGAGGATCCTAACAATGGATTCTGCCACTCCTGCTGCCAAAAACGCCTACAGCCTAGGACACTGTGGCACCCACAGCGATTGCTAATATTGATCACAGTAGCTGAAGAAGATGTGGATAAGTTGCATCGTTACATCACTCAGACTTAGAACTACCATATTCTTCAAAACCAGGACACTAAGATCCATCTGCAGGTGAAAGTCTTTCTCTACAAAAGCCACTCTAGAAAGCTTTGAATAGGTGATTGTTCCAATAGACGTGCAGACATTAATGCAGGGATACAGGAAACATGAAAGAGCAGGGAAATACTACATCACCAAGGGAAAATAATTACTCTTTAGTAGCTGACCCCAAAGTAAATGAACTCTATAAATTGAAAAGGAATTAAGAATAAAAATTTTTAGGGAACTTCAGTGAGATACAAAAGAATTAAGATGGACAATTAAAGAAAATCAGGAAAACAATGAATTCTTCCAAACTTATTTGCTAGGCTAGCGTTATCCTGATACCCTAAACAGACAAGGACACAACAAAAGAAAACTACAGGTCAGTATCCCTAATAAGTGGAGATGCAGAAATCATCAACAAAATACTATCAAACCCAATTTAACAGCACATTAAAAAGATAATTGACCATAGTCAAGTGCCATTCATTCCAGGATGGAAGTGTGATTCAACATACACAAATCAATAGCATTCTTTAATCACGTTAATAAAATGAAGGACAAAACCTATATGATTATTTTAGTAGGTACAGAAGAAGCATTTGACAAAATTCAACATCCTGCTTGATGAAAATAACTCTGAACAAATAAGGCATAGAAGATAAGTACCTCGATATAATAACAGCAGTACATGAGAAATCCACACTAAAAGCTTTGAGCTTTTCCCCTAGATCTGGAACAAGACGAGAATTCCCACTTTCACTAATTCTATTCAAGATAATGCTAGAAGTCTTACCCTGGGCAGTTAGGCAAGAGAAACAAATAAAAGCATCCAAATCAGAAAGAAGGAAGTAAAACTACCCCTGTTAAGAGACAATATGATCTTCTATATAGATAATCCTACAGATTCCACAAAAAACTGTTAGAACTGATAACGTTAGTAAACTTGTAGGATACAAAACCAACATTCAAAAATCAGTAGTGTTTCTATATACTAATAGTAGAATATCTAGAAAAGATATCAAGAAAACAATGCCATTTATGATAGTACAAAAATGAGAGACTCAGGAATAAATTTAACCAAGGAAGTAAAAGATCTCTATACTGATACTATAAGACTTATGAAAAAATTAAAAATAACACAAATTAATGGAAATATAGTCTGTGTTCATGGATTGGAAGAATTAATATTGTTAAAATGTCCATCTTAATCAAGTGATTTATAAATTAAATGCAATCCCTATCAAAATATCAGTGATATTTTTCACAGAAATAGAAAAAAAAATCCTACAGTTCATATGGAACCACGAAAGATCCTGAAGATTCAAGGCAATTTTGAGTAAAAATAAGAAAACTAGAGGCATCACACTACCTAACCTCATAATATACCACAAAGTCATAGCAATCAAAGCAGCATGGTACTGACATAAAAACAGACACATAGACCAGTGGAAGAGACTCAGAATAGAGAACCCAGAAATAAATTCACATATCTAAAGTCAACTCATTTTTGACAAAGCTACCAGGAGCACATACTGAGAAAGGACAGTTTCTTTAATAACTGGTGCTGGAAAAATTAGATATCCACATGGAGAAGAATGAGATTAGACCCCTACCTCTCCAAACATCAACTCAAAATGGATTAAGGACTTAAATCTAAGACCTGAAACTATGAAACTACCAGAAGAAAATAGGGGAAGTGCTTCATAACTGGTCTGTGCAAATCGTTTTTTTGGATAAGACCTCAAAAGCACAGGTAACAAAAGCAAAAATAGACAAATAGGGTTACATGTAATGAAGAAGCCTCTGCATAGCAAGCAAAACAATCAATAGAGCGAAGAGACAACCTACAGAAAGGGAGAAAATGTTTGCATCCTGTTCATGTGACAAGTGGTTAATAGCTAGAATATATAAGGAACTCAACAGCAAGAAAACAAATCCAATTTAAAAATAAAAGACCTGAATAGAAATGAGTAAAAAATACATACAAATGGCCAAAAGGTATATGAAAAATGCTAACATCACTAATTATCAGAGAAATACAAATCAAAACCGCCATGTAGTATCATCTCACCCTAGTTAGGATGCTTGTTGTTAAAAAGACAGAAAATAAATTCTGGTGAGGACGTAGAGAAAGAGGAATGCTTGTCCACTGTTGGTAGGAATGTAGAGTAGGACAGCCATAATAGAAAACAGTATGGAGGTTACTCAAAAAATTAAAAATAGAACTGCCATATGATCCAGCAATCTCACTACTGAGAATTTATCCAAAGGAAAGTAAATCATTATGTTGAAGAGAAATCTGCACCCCCATGTTTATTGCAGCACTATTCACAGTAGCCAAGATATGGAACCAATCTAGGTGTGCAACAGCAGATAAAAGGATAATATATCTATACCAAGGAATACTATTTAGCCATAGAAAAATGGAATCCTGTAATTCACAGCAGCATAGATGGAACTGGAGGACATTATTTTAAGTGCAATAAGCCAAGAAAATGAAGTTAAACTCCACATGTTCTTATATGTGGAAGCTAAGTTGATCTCATAGAAGTAAAAAATAGAATACAGGATACTAGAATCTGTAAAGGATAGGGGAGGGAGAGGATAGGGACAGATTTGTTAAAGGATACAAAATTACAGCTAGATGGGAGGAGTAAGTTCTAGTGTTCTCTTGCATTATAAGGTGACTATAATTCACACTAATATATTATTTCAAATAGCCAGAAGGAGGGTATTGAATGTTCCCAAGACTAAGAAATGATCATTGTTTGACATGATGGATATGCTAATCCTGACTGGATCACTATACATGACATATATCAAAACATTACTATGTATCCCATGAATATATACAATTATTGTCACTTTACATATACATTTATATATACTTATATAAATTCACATATGTATATCAGTGTTTATTTCCTAAAAACAAAGACTTTCATTTACATAACCATAGTATAGTGATGACAACTCAAAACATTAACATTTATACAGTATTGTTATCTATACACACTATTCAGATTTCATGAATTGTCACACAATTGCTCCTTATATCCAAAATCTTTACTCTGGTTTCCAAAGCAGCCTACTTCTTTGACCATATCTTGCTCTAGCCACACTTGCCTTCCTTCTAGCATGCCATGCTCCTTCTGGCCTTAGAGGCTTTGCACTGGCTGTTTTTTTACCTGAAGTTTTCTTTTTCTCAGTGTAATGGAGTTGTCTCCTTACAGCGGTTTTAGTCTTGGTTTACATGTTCCCTCTTTAGAGGGATCTCCCCGATCACCGGACAGAAGCTTCCAATTACTCTTACTTTTTCTTTATTCTAATTCTCTCCAAAGTGCTTTTTACTAATTGATATTCAGTTTGTTCATATATCATCCACCTCCAGTAAAACGGAACGTCTATGTGAGTAGAGAACTTGATATTCTTGTTATTGACTATATTTTATTTCCCAGGGTAATGACCAAAGCACATTAGGTAATTAACATATATGTGTTACCAAATGAATGAACTGATAGATGTTATCCATGGATATCACATGCCAAATTCTTCTCAAGTACCATTTTATCTTTTAATGATAGTATCCTTTAATCCTTGAAATAGATATACCAGATTTAATATTATCAAGAAGCAGCAACATAATGATCTCCCAGAATAAGTAACTTTGTGATACAGAAGAAACCTCTACTGAGAAATCCATAAAACTACAATATGTTAAAGGCTGGGCAATAGAACTTGGTTCAGGCTATCAATTTTTGGTTATGATGAGACACTGTTATGCTAAAGAAAGCCTAGATAAGGCAAGATAGAAATTTTAAGATAGGGTAAATATAGTTTTGTCTCTGCTCATACATCACTCAAGGTAAGTCTACTCTTAAAATTAAATATAGTTTTGTCATGTAATTGGACTTTTAAATTATAAGCAACAATATTTTTTCTGACTTTAATTTACTTGTCTTCAGTCAATTCTTTTCCAATTCTTGTTTTGAACTCTGCATAATTAATCAAGTGGTCTACAATATTAGATTTGATCTATCTTGATAATCTTGTGGTTAGTTATCAAAGCTTATTGCTCAAATAGAAACAGTGGAAAGACACATGTAAATATAATTGTGCATACTGATACATAAGTGGCGCTGTGGTATTCATGCTCGGCCTGACCCCATGCTTTTGCGTAGAGGCAATACCTTTCTTCATGATCACTCTAGAAGTGTGCAAAGAGGTTAGATGACTTGCTCAGAGTCATTCAGCAGACCTGAAAGGCAGATCCATGGGTGGTCACCTTGTTCGTGTGGCTTCAGTTGAAATTCATGAAGTATTTGGGGTTCTACTCTTGATAATTAGGAGCTGGAGTCCAAGTTGCTGTAGATAATGTATTTCCCTATTGTTCCCTCAGAGTGCAGCACTTTCTGATGTATTAAACTGAGTCACCCTGTAAAAACCCTGACCCTACTTTTTCTTAGCATGTGAAGCTTTTTTTCCCCCAGTTTCATTGTTCTCAATCTCTGTGTATATCAGAATCATCTAGGGAGAATTCCAATTCACAGTGTCTGAAGTAAAATCCACAAATGTATATTCTTAACATACCCCCAGATGATTTTTATAGTATTGAGAAATATTTAGGTGTTAATCACGATACACTGATGGTTGTTGATCTAATAAGAGAGAAATAAGAAATGTATTGGAAATAAAAACTTACCTTTTAATTTATATAAGTCCTGTTGAGAACATTTTGGCTCCAGATAGGTACCTGCCGTGTTCTAATTCACCTGTTTTCATGTCAGCCATATAATCACAACCTCTTTTTTTTTTAACCAATAATAGTGTATTTCATGTAGATTATTATCTTAGGTACCTTGAATTGGGGATGACAGGGCTTTTTGTTGTTGTTCCGAGTTTTACTTTTTAAATTTGTTCAATTTTTTTTATGATACTTTAAGTTCTAGGGTATATGCGCCCAACGTGCAGGTTTGATACATAGATATACATGTGCCATGTTGGTTTGTTGCAGCCATCAACTCATTATTCACATTAGGTATTTCTCCTAATGCTATCCCTCCCCCAGGTCCCCACCCTCCAACAGGCCCCAGTGTATGATGTTCCACGCCCTGCATCCAAGTGATCTCATTGTTCAATTCCCACCTATGAGTGAGAACATGTGGTGTTTGGTTTTCTCTCCTTGTGTTAGTTTGCTGTGAATGATGGTTTCCAGCTTCATCCGTGTCCCTGCAAAGGACATGAACTCATCCTTTTTTATGGCTGCATAGTATTCCATCGTGTATATGTGCCACATTTTCTTAATCCAGTCCATCACTGATGGACATTTGGGTTGGTTCCAAGTCTTTAGTATTGTGAATAGTGCCACAGTAAACATACACGTGCATGTATCTTTATAACAGCATGATTTATAATCCTTTGGGTATATACCCAGTAATGGGATTTCTGGGTCTAATGGTAATTCTAATTGTAGATATTTGAGGAATCGCCACACTGTCTTTCACAATGGTTGAACTAATTTACACTCCCACCAACAGTGTAAAAGCATTCCTATTTCTCCACATCCTCTCCAGCATCTGTTGTTTCCTGACTTTTTAATGATTGCCATTCTAACTGGTGTGAGATGGTATCTCATTGTGGTTTTGATTTGCTGTTCTCTGATGACCAGTGATGAGCATTTTTTCATGTGTCTGTTGGCTGCATAGATGTCTTCTTTTGAGAAGTGTCTGTTTATATCCTTTGCCCACTTTTTCATGGGGTTGTTTGATTGCTTCTTGTAAATTTGTTTGAGTTCTTTGTAGATTCTGGATATTAGCCCTTTATCAGATGAGTAGATTGTAAAAATTTTCTCCCATTCTGTAGGTTGCCTTTTCACTCTGATGGTAGTTTCTTTTGCCGTGCAGAAGCTCTTTAGTTTAATTAGATTCCATTTGTCTATTTTGACTTTTGTTGCCATTGCTTTTGGTGTTTTAGTCATGAAGTCCTTGCCCATGCCTATGTCCTGAATGGTATTGCTTAGGTTTTCTTCTAGGGTTTTCATGGTTTTAGGTCTAACATTTAAGTCTTTTCTCCATCTTGAATTAATTTTTGTATAAAGTATAAGGAAGGGATCCAGTTTCAGCTTTCTACATATGACTAGCCAGTTTTCCGAGCACCATTTATTAAATAGGGAATCCTTTCCCCATTTCTTGTTCGTGTCAGGTTTGTCAAAGATCAGATGATTGTAGATGTGTGGTGCTATTTTTGAGGCCTCTGTTCTGTTCCATTGGTCTACATATCTGTTTCAGTACCAGTACCAGTACCAGTACCAGTACCAGTACCATGCTGTTTCAATACCAGTTGCATGTTTCAGTACCAGTACCATGCTGTTTCAGTACCAGTACCATGCTGTTTTTGTTACTGTAGCCTTGTAGTATAGTTTGAAGTCAGGTAGTGTGATGCCTCCAGCTTTGTTCTTTTGGCGTAGGATTGTCTTGGCAATGCAAGCTCTTTTGTTGTTCCAGATGAACTCTAAAGTAGTTTTTTTCCAATTCTGTGAAGAAAGTCATTGGTAGCTTCATAGGGATGGCATTGAATCTATAAATTACTTTGGGCAGTATGGCCATTTTCACGATATTGACTCTTCCTATCCATGAGCATGGAATATTCTTCCATTTGTTTGTGTCCTCTTTTATTTCTTTGAGCAGTGGTTTGTAGTTGTCCTTGAAGGGGTCCTTCACATCCCTTGTAAGTTGGATTCCTAGGTATTTTATTCTTTTTGTAGCAATTGTGAATGGGAGTTCACTCATGACTTGGCTCTCTGTTTGTCTGTTAATGGTGTATAGGAATGCTTGTGATTTTTGCACACTGATTTTATATCCTGAGACTTTGCTGAAGTTGCTTATCAGTTTAAGGAGATTTTGGGCTGAGATGATGGGGTTTTCTAAATATGCAATCATGTTATCTGCAAACAGGAACAATTTGACTTCCTCATTTCCTAATTGAATACCCTTTATTTCTTTCTCTTGCCTGATTGCCCTGGCCAGAACTTCCAACACTACGTTTTTTGTTTTTCTTTTTGTTTTTGCTTTTTTATTATTATTATAATACTTTAAGTTTTAGTTTACATGTGCACAACGTGCAGGTTTGTTACATATGTATGTTGAATAGTAGCGGTGAGAGAGGGCATCCTTGTCTTGTGTGGGTTTTCAAAGGGAATGCTTCCAGTTTTTGCCCATTCAGTATGATATTGGCTGTGGGTTTGTCATAAATAGCTCTAATTATTTTGATATACGTTCCATCAATACCTAGTTTATTGAGAGTTTTTAGCATGAAGGGCTGTTGAATTTTGTTGAAAGCCTTTTGCATATGTTGAGATAATCATGTGGTTTTTGTTGTTAGATCTGTTTATGTGATGAATTACATTTATTGATTTGCATATGTTGAACCAGCCTTGCATCCCAGGAATAAAGCTGACTTGATCACGGTGGATAAGCTTTTTGATGTGCTGCTGGATTCGGTTTGCCAGTATTATATTGAGGATTTTTGCATCGATGTTCATCAGGGATATTGGTCTAAAATTCTCTTGTTTGTTGTTGTTGTGTCTCTGCCAGTGTTTGGCATCAGGATGATGTTGGCCTCATAAAATGAGTTATGGAGTGTTACTTCTTTTTCTATTGATTGGAATAGTTTCAGAAGGAATGGTACCAGCTCCTCTTTGTACCTCTGGTAGAATTTGCCTGTGAATCCGTCTGGTCCTGGACTATTTTTGGTTGGTGGGCTATTAATTATTGCCTGAATTTCAGAAGCTGTCATTGGTCTATTCAGAGATTCAACTTCTTCCCTGGTTTAGTCTTGCAAGGGTGTGTCCAAAATTTTATCCATTTCTTCTAGATTTTCTAGTTTATTTGCATAGAGGTGTTTATAGTATTCTCTGATGGTCGTTTGTATTTCTGTGGGATCGGTGGTAATATCCACTTTATCATTTTTTATTGTATCTATTTGATTCTTCTCTCTTTTCTTCTTTATTAGTCTTGCTAGTGGCCTATCAATTTTGTTGATCTTTTGAAAAAACCAGCTCCTGGATTCATTGATTTTTTTGAAGGGTTTCTGTGTCTCTATCTTCTTCAGTTCTGCTATGGTCTTAGTTTTTTCTTGCCTTCTGCTAGCTTTTGAATGTGTTTGCCATTTTAGATCTTTTCTGCTTTCTCCTGTGGGCATTTAGTGCTATAAATTTCCCTCTACATACCGCTTTAAATGTGTCCCAGAGATTCTGGTATGTTGTGTCTTTGTTCTCACTGGTTTCGAAGAACATCTTTATTTCTGCCTTCATTTCGTTATCTACCTAGTAGTCATTCAGGAGTAAGTTGTTCAGTTTCCATGTAGTTGTGCAGTTTTGAGTAAGTTTCTTAATCCTGAGTTCTAATTTGATTGCACTGTGGTATGAGAGAGAGTTTGTTGTGATTTTTGTTCTTTTACATTTGCTGAGGAGTGCTATACTTCCAATTATGTGGTCAATTTTAGAATAAGTGTGATGTGGTGCTGAGAAGAATGTATATTGTGTTGATTTGGGGTGGAGAGTTCTGTAGATGTCTATTAGGCCTGCTTGTTGCAGAGCTGAGTTCAAGTCCTGGATATCCTTGTTAACCTTCTGTCTCATTGATCTGTCTAATATTGACAGTGGGGTGTTAAAATCTCCCATTATTATTGTGTGGGAGTCTAATTCTCTTTGTAGGTCTCTAAGGACTTGCTTTATGAATCTGGGTGCTCCTTTATTGGGTTCATATATATTTAGAATAGTTAGCTCTTCTTGTTGAATTGACTTGATCCCTTTGCCATTATGTAATGGCCTTCTTTGTCTCTTTTGATCTTTGTTGGTTTAAAGTCTGTTTTATCAGAGACTAGGACGCAACCTCTGCTTTTTTTTTTCTTTCCATTTGCTTGGTAGATATTCCTCCATACCTTTATTTTGAGCCTATGTGCATCTTTGCATGTGAGATGGGTCTCCTGAATACAGCACAGCGATGGGTCTTAACTCTTTATCCAAATTGCCAGTCTGTGTCTTTTAATTGGGGCATTAGGCCATTTACATTTAAGGTTAATATTGTTATGTGTGAATTTGATCCTGTAATTATGATGTCTGCTGGTTATTTTGCCCATTAATTGATGCAGTTTCTTCATAGCATCAATGGCCTTTACAATTTGGCATGTTTTTGCAGTGGCTGGTACCGGTTGTTTCTTTCCATGTTTAATGCTTCCTTCAGGAGCTCTTGTAAGGCAGGCCTGGTGGTGACAAAATCTCTCAGCATTTACTTGTCTGTAAAGGATTTTATTTCTTCTTCACTTATGAAGCTTAGTTTGGCTGGGTATGAAATTCTGGGCTGAAAATTCTTTTCTTTAAGAATGTTGAATATTGGCCCCCACTCTCTTCTGGCTTGTAGGGTTTCTGCTGAGAGATCCACTGTTAGTCTGATGGGCTTCCCTTTGTGGGTAACCCAACCTTTCTCTCTGGCTGCCCTTAACACTTTTTCCTTCATTTCAACCTTGGTGATTCTGAAAATTATGTGTCTTGGGGTTGCTCTTCTCGAGGAGTATCTTTGTGGTGTTCTCTGTATTTCCTGAATTTGAATGTTGGCCTGCCTTGCTAGGTTGGGGAAGTTCTCCTGGGTAATATCCTGCAGAGTGTTTTCCATCTTGGTTTCATTCTCCCCATCACTTTCAGGTACACCAATAAAATGTAGATTTGGATTTTTCACATAGTCCCATATTTCCTAGAGGCTTTGTTCATTTCTTTTTACTCTTTTTTCTCTAACCTTGTATTCTTGCTTTATTTCATTAATTTGATCTTCAATCGCTGATACCCTTTCTTCCACTTGATTGAATTGGCTATTGAAGCTTGTGCACGTGTCACGAAGTTCTCATGCCATAGTTTTCAGCTCCATCAGGTCACTTAAGGTCTTCCTTACACTGTTTATTCTAATTAGCCATTCGTCTAATCTTTTTCCAAGGTTTTTAGCTTCCTTGCGATGGGTTTGAACATCCTCTTTAGCTCAGAGAAGTTTGTTATTACCAACCTTCTGAAGCCTACTTCTGTCAACTCATCAAAGTCATTCTCCATCCAGCTTTGTTCGTTCCTGACAAGGAGCTGCAATCTTTGGAGGAGAAGAGGTGCTCTCATTTTTTAGAATTTTCAGCTTTTCTGCTCTGGTTTCTCCCCATCTTTGTGGTTTTATCTACCTTTGGTATTTGATGTTGGTGACCTACAGATGGGGTTTCAGTGTAGATGACCTTTTTGTTGATGTTGATGCTATTCCTTTCTGTTTGTTAGTTTTCCTTCTAACAGTCCCCTCAGCTGCATGTCTATTGGAGTTTGCTGGAGTTCCATTCCAGACCCTGTTTGCCTGGGTATCACCAGCAGAGGCTGCAGAGGAGCAAATATTACAGAACAGCAAATATTGCTGCCTGATCCTTCCTCTGGAAGCTTCGTCCGAGATGGGCAGCTGCCTATATGAGGTGTCAGTCGGCCCCTACTGAGAGGTGTCTCCCACTTCAGCTACACGGGGGTCAGGGACCCACTTTAGGAGGCAGTCTGTCCGTTCTCAGAGTTCGAACACCATGCAGGGAGAACCACTCCTCTCTTCAGAACTGTCAGACAGGGACGTTTAAGTCTGCAAAAGTTGTCTGCTGCCTTTTGTTCAGCTATGCCCTGCCCACAGAGGTGGAGTCTAGATGCTGTAGGCCTTGTTGAGCTGAGTTTGAGCTTCCCAGCCACTTTGTTTACCTACTCAAGCCTCAGCAATGGCAGACACCCCTCCCCCAGCCAGGCTGCCACCTTGCATATCAATCTCAGACTGCTGCGCTAGCAGTGAACAAGTCTCCATTGGCATGGGACCCACCGAATCAGGCAAAGGAGAGAATCACCTTGTCTGCTGGTTCCTAAGACCTTGGGAAAAGCACAGTATTTGGGCAGGAGTGCCCCGTTTTTCCAGATAGTCTGTCACGGCTTCCCTTGGCTAGGAAAGGGAAATTTCCTGACCCCTTGCACTTCCCAGGTGAGGCGACGCCCCTCCCCCCCCCCCGCTTTGGCTCACCCTCCATGGGCTGTACGCACTGTCCAACCAGTCCCAATGAGATAAACCAGGTACCTCAGTTGGAAATGCAGAAATCACCCATCTTCTGCATCGATCACACTGGGAGCTGGAGACCGGAGGTGTTCCTATTTGGCCATCTTGGAACCAAAAAAATCACAACCTTTCTTAAGATTCTTTTAACTCACACTGGAATCAAAAAAGGACCGCAGCTATTAAAATGGGCAAGCAGTTAGTAAATCAGAGTGTCATTAGAAAGAGCTATGAAATTAAGAAATTATAAAATTTTAGAAAGAGTTTCTGAAATTAAACTCACGGCAGTGTCATAATCTCTGTTTAAAGACAGCTCAGTAAACAGGTCTCAGAAGTAGCTTTACGAATAATAACTTTTTTAGGAAATAAAAGAAGAGAGGGCCTAACACATCAGGATTTGCTCTTGTTGTTGTTTCTCTCTTAGCTTTTATTTCTATTTACCAGGTCTAAAGTTTTCTACTGTCCATACCTCATCCTCATCAATATGACTAATATTTTCCTGTGCAACCTTATTTAGGGAGCATATGAGATGAGATGGATATTTCTAAAATGCTGTGAGAGCCTGAGAGGAAAATTACTGTACCAGGCTAAGCTTGATGGCAAGATGTAAAAATAACAATTATTTCCTTTGAGCACTCTCTGGCCCCTTGGGCCATGTTGTAAAGGATTCAGGAAGTGGGCCTCCTAGAAGGCAAAGGCTCACTGAGTACTTTGTGGGGAAGAGAAGTGTGTGCTCCCTCGTGCTCTTCTTTTCCTAAGCAATGAGAGTGCTGCTACTCTGTCAGTGCACTACGTTTCCAGGAGACAGATTTTAAAGAGCCATAAGAAAATGCTTGTGTGGATGAGATTGTGGTTATATGACTAGCGAGGCTATGAAGATGTACTAAGAAGAAGAGAGCCATAGAAATAAAACCACCTGGATTCTATCTGGTTCCTTGATCCTGACCAGTCACATTTCCTCTCTTCATGTAAATTTCTACATCGGTGCAAGTGGCAGGTAGACTAGAGCAGGTGTGGAAATTGGTGGTCCTCAGACACATTTTATTTGGCTTTCACAGTGCTTCTTTCTTCTCTTCCCTTTCTTTTCTTTCCTTTTTTTTTAAGACAAGGTCTCGCTCTGTCATATAGGCTGGATTTCAATGGCATGATCACAGCTCACTGCAGCCTCAGACTCTGTAGCTCAAGCAATCCTCCCCTCTCAGCCTCCCAAATAGCTGAGACCACAGGTACGTGTCACCATGCCTGGCTGATTATTTTTAAATTATTTTTTTGTAGAGGCAGGGGTCTCACTATGTTTCCCAGGCTGGTCTCGAACTCCTGGGCTCAAGCAATCCTCCTGCCTCAACCTCCCAAAACTGCTAGGATTGTAGACATGAGCCATTGCACCTGGCCTTCTTTGTTTTCTTTTTTCCCTTCTCTTTCTTATTTTTTTCCTTTTCCCTTATTAAATGTAAATCAAAATTTAAATATTGGGATATCTCACATAAAAATTAATGTTCTTTTTTTTAGGAAATGAAGAGGGGGATGGTAGTGCCAGGTTTGTTTTCTATGTGGCGGCTCCTCTCATTTAGAAAGGGCACTCCCATTTCTGTGTAGTCTCTATCACTCCCCACTAACTCCTAACACTAACACCTAGGGTTGGCTTTTGTTTATCACTGCATTGTTGTTTATCTTGAATAGAGAAATATTCTTTACCTGTGTCTCCACAAACAGAGTTAAAATAAAAGACTATAAAGTCTGCATTTAAAAGTTGGGGAGCAGTAACAGAGCATTTAATTTTCTTACTGTTTGAAATCCACTCAAGTTGGCTCTCTTCGCCACTAACTTGATCACTTATATAATGTTTTCCTCAAAAGAAACAAACGTTATGTCAAATTTATCATTTGCTATTTACTGCATGATAGATTTGTGCATTGTAGGCCATGACTCAATGTTTATGAAAGAATTTGAGGTGACAGTCTCTGCCCATTACCACGCAGCATGGCTCAAGGTCTTTCCTGTTGTGCTGCTGTATATACTTTAAAGCAAACATTCTTGGCATTTTGTTCTGTTCCTGTGTTCTTTGCCTTTGCTTCTATTCTTTCACTGAGTAGGCAAAGAAATATGGACCCAGGTATTTAACTTCCAATTGAAACAAAATGCAAACTAAACTCCAGATTTAAATCTACCAAGTTTCTATCTTGCATAAACTCAATCATTCAATAAACATTGACTTAGTGTCTACTTTATTCCAAGATTGTGCTTAACTTGGTGACAGAGAAAAAAAGAAGTAGCTCCTGATTCACAGGTTAGTAAGAGTCAGAGGCAAGAAAACAAGTGTCAAGTTGGATGATGTCCAAGACCCTGGAAAAGGCCAGTAGAAATGACCATTGATCATAGAAAGCTGGGTTTATTAAGCTTACTGCCAAGGAAGATTACCATCTTGACAACAGCATCTCACGGCATCTCTAAAAGAGAAAGTTAGGGAAACATGACGGGACTGGAGGGTGCTGGAGGCCTTAGCTTTATCTTAAGGTGGTTTTAGGGCAGAGATTAGAGAGATCTGGTGAGATGAGAGATTGGTCAAAATTTGTAAACTAGGTAAGTTGCTGAAACATTGAGTGATATGATCTTGAGACCATGCATAGGGAGGATGATCAGGCACCATCTGCTAGGCTGATAGTCTTCACAGCCATCATGCTTCAGAGGCTGTGGATTTACTATGCTACCACAGAGCTGAGCCGGGGAAGTGAGCCATAAGCTTGCTGTACTTACTGAGATTCAGCCATTTTTCTTGATTAAATGCTCCTTGGAGGTTTTGCAACTGGTTAATTTCCAGATTTTTGAAGCAGTTGATTGTGACCATTTTTGTCAGTTTTCTCATTGCTTTTATGCCAGAGAAGATTTTTTAAGGATGGATTTCCATTTTGAAAGTGTTTCTCTCAGAAACACTTTTAAATCAGTTTTTTGGGGGGTCTTATCTCATAATACATGAATCTGAATGAGCTAATGTTAAAGCAACTTCAGCAAAAATTGAAAAGGTCAAGAGAAGCATCGTGGAAGAAATGTTAAAGAAGAACAGAAATGAGTCTTCTGGAAATGTTGGTAGTGCACCAGGAGGTGGAAGAATCATCCAGTCAGTAATTACAGGGCAACTGGTATGTGCCAGGCTCTGTTATAGGCCCTAAAGATATCTCAGTAAACGAAAAAAAATCCCTGCTTTCATGGAATTTATATTTTGGTGTTGGAATTGGATGGGGAATGGAAGACAAACAAATTTGACAGGTAGTGAAAAGTGCTATAAAGAAAATAACCTGGCAGGTGATGGAGACTGACAGGGTGGTGTTTCTTTAGGAAGATCATCTGTCTCCTCCCTGAGAAAGAAACACTAGAGCAGAGACCTGAATGAAGTGAGGAAGTGAGCCTTATGTCTTTCTAGGGCAGAGTGTTGCAAACATAAGTAATGATAAGCGCAAAGGCCTGGGTGAGTGTAGAGGAATGAATAATTGTGGCTCTAGGCAAGTGGCAAATGTGGAGCTCGAGGACTGTTAGGGGAAAACAACTGGGACTATATAGAAGAAGGTATCCCTAAACTGTGAAGGAGCTGAGAGACTGAAGAATGACTTGGAAAAATCCAGCTTGATGAGTAGAATAGTTTTTTGGGACTTTCACACAGGCATTCCTGGGTGGCAGCAGGGCAACTCCAGAGATGCACCCTACCTTCCTTCTCTAAACTTTTCTTAAGCTAGTTTTCTACCTCTTTCCCTACTGTGTGTATACAATGAGACTGTTTTCCTTGGTATGTTCCCAGTTATGATCCAGAATTTGGGGGTTCTCAAAGGCATCTATCTGCTCCTCTGCTGGGCACCATGGCATTGGCTCATCATGGGGCCTTCAGAATTCCAGCAGCAGACATAAACAGTTAAGTAACCTGATGGGAGACTCACCGCCCTGCAAGGACCAGGATAGAAGATAGATTCTTCAGGCAAGAGGCAGAGGGTGACAACTTCTTGGGGATAGGGAAGGTGAAGATTATCAGAACAGTAAAGGCTAAGAGTGAAGGAGTATAGATTTTCAGAGGGGCTCACCTTGCTGCATTTAGGATGACCTACAGAAGTTGGGTGGGAGACAGTGGCAAGCCTCCTTGAGGTTTCCTGGTGTGAAGTTGTTAGTCATGTGAGGTGAGGCTTAGGGGACTTGGAGACCTGACCATTATGCGTTCTTTTTTTACCAGTGCCTTTATAATTGCTATCGTGAGCTGTCTTCTCTACTTTTCTGAAACAAATAGAGTAAACATGAGTGGGTCAGATTTACCTAAGCTTCTCTATCCAGTCATATTCTGATTTCTCAATCTTAAAGAAGCCCCTCTGCTTCCACTAACAGTACCCAGCATTCTATTGCTCCCAGGAAAAAGACCAGGAAGGATGCTCTGGCCTCAGGGAACTGTGCTGTGAAAAAGGGATTAGGATACATCATTTTCTTGCACTTCACGTTATTGTGATTTGCAGATACTGTGGGGTTTTTTTAAAAACAAATTGAAGGATTATGACAACCCCATATTGGGCACTTCCATCAGCACTATTTTTCCAACAGCATATATTCACTTTATATCTTTGTGTCACATTTTAGTAATTCTCATAATAGTTCCAGCTCCTTTATATCTGCTATGGTGATCTGTGATGAGTGATCTTTGATGTTACAATTGTAATTGTTTTGTGGTGCCATGAAGCACACCCATATAAGATAGCAAATTTAACTGATTAGTTCTGTGGGTGTTCTGACAATTCCAATGATGAGCTGTTTTCCCCTCTTTCCCTCTCTCCTTGGACCACCCTATTCTCTGAGACATAACAATATTAAAATTAGGACAATTAATAATGGTACAGTGGTCTCTAAGGAAGAGTTGTAAGTGTCTCAGTTTAAATCAAAAGCTAGAAATGATTAAGCTTAAAGAGGAAGGCATGTTGAAAGCCAAGATAGGCTGAAAGCTAGACTTGTTGCACCAGAAACAAAAGTCAAGTTGTTAATGCAAAGGAAATGTTATTGAAGGAGATTAAAATTGCTACTCCAGTGAATGCATAAATGACAAGAAAATTATACAGCCTTATTGCAGATCTGGAGAAAGTTTCAGGGGCCTGGAGAGAAGATCAAATCATCCACAACATTTCCTTAAGCCAAAGCCTGATCCATAGCAAGGCCTTAACTCTCTTCAATTCCATGAAGGCTGAGAGAGATAGGAAGCTGCAGAAGAAAAGGAGGAAACTGGCAGAGGTTGGTTTACAAGGTTTAAGAAGCTGCCTCTATAGCATAAAAATGCAAAGTGAGGCAGGAAGTAATGATGTAGAAGCTGTAGCAAGTTATCCAGAAGATCAAGATAAGATCATTGATGAAGGTGGCTACACTAAGCAGTAGATTTTCAGTGGAGATAAAACAGCTTTCTACTGGGAAAATATGTCATTGAGAACATTTATAACTAGAGAGAAGTCAATAACTGACTTCAAAAGACAGGCTGACTCTCTCGTTAGGGGCTAATGCAAGTGAAGACTCTAAGTTGAAGCCAATACTCATTGACCATTCTGAAAACCTTAGCACCATTAAGAATAATGCTAAATCAACACGAACTCTGCTCTATAAATGGGACAACAAAGCCTGGAGGACAGCACATATGTTTACAGCATGGTTTAGTAAATATTTTAAGCCTACTGTTGAGACCTACTTCTCAGGAAAAAAGATTCTTTTCAAAATATTACTGTTCATTGACAATGCACCTGTTAACCCAAGAACGCTGATGGATGTGTTCAAGGATATTAATGTTGTTTTCATGCCTGCTAACATCACATTCTTTCTATAGCCCATGGATCAAGGAGTAACTTTTATGTTCAAGTTTTAATATTAAAGATATACATTTTCTAATGCCATAGCTACTATAAATAATGATTCTTCTGATACATCTGAACAAAGTAAATTGAAACCTTCTGGAAAGGATTCACCATTCTAGATGCCATTAAGAACATTCATCATTCATGGGAGGAGGCCAAAATAGCAGCCTTAACAGGAGTTTGGAAGAAGTTTATTCTAACCCTCATAGATGACTGTGAGGGGTTTGAGACTTTAGAACTTCTCTTGTTCTCTTCATGCTACTCTTCCAGTAAGATGCAAGAGGGTTATATAGGAAAGGTCAGGTTGACATCTACTATATGATTTTTTTTAACTTTTCCTACAAATCCATCAGAAACTGTAAAGAGGTAGCAATTTCCCTTGGTATTGTATTTAATTTGCTCAGTATGCCCTTAAGTGGAAAATTTGAGCAGGGTCCAATTTTATTGTGATTATTGATCTGGCTAATTCCTTCACAATAGTATATTTATTATGAAGGTTTTGCCTGTGTAGCAAATCTGGTTTCCTCTCCAAGCATATTCCCATAAGTGGGTGCTTTCCTAATAGCACTGATTTTCCACACAGCCACGTACTTCAGGAAAAGTCATCCATGTTGCCAGGGCCAGGGCATGAATCTACAATTGAGCTAATCCAATTCTGGTCATCCTTTTCATTTTAAAGATTGATACAGAAACAAGCAGAAGTCAAAATTTGGTCTGAGACATGACTAGAAATATGCTAGAAACTTCTGGGAAATGTTTTATTTTTCTGATACAATGAGACAAACAGAAAAGGGATGACATAGCTCCTGTTTATCTGCTGGACAGTGTTATGAAGATATGATTCCTGGAGCTGCTGCAGCTGTCTTGTAAGCATGAGAAGAGCTGGTTATAAGAAAAGGCACATTTTCTAGAAGTAACAGTGTTGAAAAAATATTAAAAACCTGGGTCTTGGATAACATTTTTTAGTTGCTCTACTTCTAAAAATCTTGTAATGAGAGAGAGATAGAGACAGACAGACACACACACACAAACACACATACACAGAAATTCCATCTTATTTAATTCAATTGAGTTGAGAATGTTTTTTGAGGCAAAACTCATATTAACTAATATCCCAAGATACTTTGCTATTATGACATTTTCTCAGTGACTGAGACTCTCACTTCTCATCATAGAAGACTATGTTAACAAGTATTTTTCTCATTCCGTTTGATTTTTTTAAAAGATAAAAATCATAGAGAACGTAGGGGCTAAAACTAAATTTAGATGTCCTATCTCTAACAATATCAACTTTTTTCTAAGAATCTTTGAGGCATAAAACACATTACCATCAGATCAACTTCTTTATTTTTGCACATTAGGTAACAGGGCCCAAAGAGCCCCGTTTAGGTGACTTGCTAAGGATCTCACCACAGTAGTAAACCTAGGGTCAAATACCCAAATTTCTTCTTCATTCTCTACTTTCATATCCACTTTGTTTCACTCATTCCTTTAAATATTAAGTCATCCTAAGAGTAACTGTGTTTTAAATCGGAGAGGGTCCACTCGTTCTGCTTTTCCTTAAGTACCTGCAGATGGCCAGTGTCAGTCTCCATGACACTAAGAATGCAGACATGTAAATGTATTTGACCTTATGCAAGGCCTTTTGGATTTTTGAAAAGTGACAGCTGAATTACTCTGAGTGAAGGACAAGTACTAACACCACAGAGTTCAAGAAGATTGCTGCATTTAGTTTTGCCTAGTTCATGCTTGTAAGTGAAGTAGCAAACCTAGGCAAATATCCAGATAAATTTAAGCCAAAAAATTTATCTGGGTTTCAGGCTTTTGATATCAGAGACCTAGAGTTTTTGTTTTCACCTTCAGTGTCACGTGTTAATGAAGTCCTGAATTTAGGGGTGTGCTCAAATCTCCCTGGAAAAACCATTTGTGGGGTCCTTTTGAAATAGAGCAAAAGTCTGATGACATTAGCCACGTTAGGCTTAGTGTATGGAACAGGAAACAGGGTCCAGCCATGTGATTCCTGAGCTCCAGGCATGACTCTTGAGCTTGGGCTATTCAGTTTCAGTTTGATTCTCCACCCGTTTGGGTTTCATGGAGGTCCCAGTCAGCTCTTAGAAGCAGCTGCTGCACTCCGAAAAGAGAGGTTTACTTCTGACCTTCTGTGATCTCTTCATCTGATCTACTGATGAGTTGCTCCATCTAAAATCCATGTAACATTCCATCATTACCTCATTTGCCTAGGATTCAGTTTTCTTAAAAAGGAGTGAAGTAAAAAAAAAAAAGGTGATGGGGGACAATGTAAGTATCAGTTAATTAAGTTGTACACATATTTAACATTGAGATCCTAGAGCAATCTAATTTAAGCTTTCATTTGTTCAAATGGATAGGGTGTTCATTAAGTTTCAAGAGGTTCTTTGAATTTCACCAGAGGTTCAATTTCGTCGTCTCTCTAGATGAAATTGTTGAATCCCATTGTCTATGTTGAATCCCATCTTGCCAACTGTTGTGACAGCTTGATGACCAAAACTAATGAATGTGGAATATTGGAGGGGGAGTTGGAGTACGAAGTAGCGGTTCTGGCCTCTGAAATGTTGCCCCATTTGAAGTGTTTATTGTCTAGAATTGCAATTTTCCTCCACAAAATAATCTTTCAATAGTTTGTAATGAAACACATCACCATGTGTTATTTGGTCAAAGTAGACTGTAATAATTTGAGTTTATTTTGATGTAAGGTAAAAAAAAAATGCCCTTTGGCTTTGATTGCTGATAGTGTTTTCCTCTTTCTTTTGTAGTCATGTGGTCAAGACATTTGTAGGACAGAGGAAGAGAAGAAAGTGTCACATTGTATTGTTTCTTTCCTGTTGCCTGAGATGAAGATTGCAGTTATTTGGTTGTAGCTATAAATGACAATGAGTTGAGTAGGTTTGTCTTTAAGAATTAAATCTTAATTTTTTTCTTTCTTGTGGATGATAAGCTACTGATTTTCTGTAGTTGTGCTAATACTTATTTAGAGGAATATACAAATTTTAAAAAACTTGCTTTGTTTGTATTTTAGTTTCCTTTTGCAGCTTCTGATACCAAGGGATATGGTGGGAGCGGAAGTGTTCAGCTTGTATCTAGTCCAAATCTTGCCCTGTTCTGATTAAACACTATCTTTAAAGAAGATTTATGGAAAATGATTGTGAGTTGAGAGGAAGGAATAGGAAATATTTATCTGTGATATTCATAACCAGGGTCTGTGGGAAGTGTCATGGCGTGTCTAGCACCTTAAATGAACCTGGTCGGGCTCAACAGGTTTTTTATTCTCTTTGATGATGTGCCTGATCATCTCTTCTCCAAAGAGAATCAAGCCTTAGCTTGATCAAGCCGAGTATCCTGTTGGATGCATTTCTCCTTACTTTGTATATCATTCCTATAGTTAGGGGTCATTAACTCTTTTAATGAACTAGATGCCATTGAATATATTGCTACATATGTGTGTTTCTTGTTCCTCCCTCTTCTTTCCCTTCATCCTTCCCTTTTCTTCCTTCCTCCCCATTCCTTCATTCCTCATTCGTTTTTACCGAGTGTCTCCTATTTGTAAGGTACCAGGATCTGCAACATCAAAGATAAATAATCTCAAGAAGCCCATGGTCTACTTAGAAAAATAACATTTGTATTTATAATTACAATGTTGTGTGGAACGTGATATGGGCCATGGGAGAGGTGTGAAGGCCAACAGAAAGTGGGAGGATGGAAAGGACTCTTCAAGTGGAAGCCATCAGGGAGGCCTTCATATCTTTGCTTAGAAGCCTAAAAGTTTGTTTTTGAAAAAAATAAATTTATTTAAATGAGAAACACACAAGAGGCTAGACTTCAATATCCTAATTATCTAAGAACAACTTGTCCCCCTCCTACTACTTGTGTTTTTAAAGGAATTTTTGATTTGTTATTCTCTTATTCAGACCAAACCACTATGAATGCATTTAATCCATGCGTACAGGAATTTGTTTTACTGTCCTCTTTTCTACCATCAATATTCACTGACATCTATAAAATCAATTCCAGAAATTCTAATGAAATACTTTTTAAGAATGTTCTCATCATCCCAGAATTTCTGTTAACTAAAACAAAGAATCTTGGAGCCACAGGGAACTTGAGAGATGATTATGCAGGATAACTGCCTCACTTCACTGATAAAGAAACTCAGGCCCCAAAAGACAGTGACCTGGGTCTCTTATATAAAGCAAAGATTAGAACCTAGTTTCTCTGTCTATACTTTCTACTCTACTATCTTTTGTAAGCTAATATAATTTAAGTTAAGCTAGCATAAGTATATGACAGAGAACCAGGAAAACAGCTGGCAGTGGGAAGATGGTTTAGAATTGATATTACTGCGGATGAGGTAGGCCATTTTCACGGAAGTAGCTTCCTTTCTTATTTCTTTCTTTCCTTATGTCCGTCCTTCCACATCATTGCCACAATTTGTGAAATAAAGGCTATTCCTGTCACCTTAATGATACCCAGCTAGACAAACTTGCCTCTTAGTATGGTTGGGTGTTGCCCACGCTCATACTTCTCATTTTATTCAAGGCCTAAATGTAGATGTTGCAAGTTTTTTTTTAGGGTTCATTTCATTAAGCTCATGGTTACACCTAGAATAGGTGTATACAATTTTTCTCTCTGTCTCTTTATGTATGTGTGAGTGTGTGTGTATATACACACATGTACATACACATATGTAACGTGTTTTTAATTAGTTCAGAGAGCGTAATTGCTTCATCTCACAAATGTATTGAGCAGCTATTTTCTAAAATAATAGCATTATTCAGAAATGTGTTTATACTCACCAACACACATCAGATTACGATTGCATGCTATAGCTTGGTGATGCAACTGTAAAATATCTAGGCAGAATAAAGAATGGGGATAAAGCAAACATAGAATTTGGAATTTCTATTTTTATGTGAGAAATACTTTCTGTTTCTGCTGCTCTAAAAAGTCTCTGATGATGGTTTGGAGATATAAAGAGTAACTGGGTCCACTCTTAAATGTTGCTTAAAGAGGCCTTGGCCTAGGAAACATATTCAGTATTTAGCTGAGAAATTTTAATTTAGTAAAATGTAATAAATTTATTCCAGAACTCAAACAGCACCAACTGAGTATCTAATATATGCATGGAACTGTTAGTAGGCTGTGGTAATTTTGCTAACTACAAGGAAATAAAGTCTTCCTCAAGGATAAAACATCTATATATAGTTGTGAGAAAATATCAAACGAAGCTCTGACTTTTGGAAAACATCAGTTACAGTGGTGCTCAGTACCTAATATGTACTTAGAAAGTGTTTTTTTGTTTGTTTGTTTCTTTGTTTGTTTGTTTGTTTTGGCTTTTTATCGGCTCTAATCTACTCTGTACCAAGGTGGTTGGTTTATTCTGTATGACTTATAGCCAGCAATCTGTACTTTGGCCCAAATTGTCCACTCTAATCAATCACTTCTGAAGATTCTCAAATCCTGACCTTTTCTTTTGTCTATAGTCTGTGGAGACTACATGAATCTAAACTTTCTATTTATTAAAGTTTTCCCTTCTCCTAGACACCAGCTTAGCTTGTCTGCTACTTCAGCCTAACCTACTAACTTCATCTTAATTTACTGAACCTATTACTCTTTGAAAGATAGTTCTGCTGTGCCTCTAACTTAAAAGTTGGAATTCCTAGAAAAAGTGGGTAAATTTCTGGACACATAGAACGTACCAAGATAGAGTCAGGAAGAAATAGAAAACCCGAATGGACCAATAATGAGCAACAAGATTGAAGCTGTAATAAAAAGGATCAGTTGGGTGTGCTGCCTCATACCTGTAATCCCAGCACTTTGGGAGGCTGAGGCAGGTGGATCACTTGAGCTCAGGAGTTTGAGACCAGCCTGGGCAACATGGTGAGACTCTGTCTCTACTAAAATTACAAAATAATAGCTGGGTATGGTAGTGCATGTCTGTGGCCCCAGGTACTTGGAAGGCTGAATTGGGAGGTTTAGTTGAGCCCAGGAGACAGAAGTTGCAGTGAGATTGCACCACTGCACACCAGCATGGGTGTCAGAGCAAGACCTGTCTCAAAAAAATTTTTTAAAGTCTCTCAGTGAAGAAAAGCCCAGGACCCAATGGCTTCATTGCTGAATTCTACCAAACATGTAAAGAATTAATATCAATCCTACTCAAACTATTAAAATTGAAGAGGAGAGAATGCTTCTGAATTCATTCCACAAGGCTTGCATTACCCTGATACCAAAACCAGATAAAAACAAAATGAAAAAAAGAAAACTACAGGCTAATATCATTTATGTATGTGGAAGCAAAAGTTTTCAACAACATACTAGCAAACCAAGTTCAACAGTGTATTAAAAAGATCATTCACCATGATGAAGTGGGATTCATCCCATAGATGCAAGGATAGTTCAACTTATGCAAATCAACAAATGTGATACATTACAGAATCATGGACAAAATCCATATGATCATTTTTAAAAGATGTGACAAACGTTCCGTAAAATTTAACATCCCTTCGTGCTAAAAACTCTCAACAAATTGAGTATAGAAGGAAAATGCCTCAAAGGCCATATATGACAAACTCACAGCTAATATACTGAGCTAATATACTGAAAAAAATTGAAAGCCATATGACTAAGATCTGAAATAAAACAAAAATACCTAATTTCACCACTTCTGTTCAACACTGTATTGTAATTCCTAGTCAGAGCAATTGGGCTAGAGAAAGAAAGAAAGGGCATCCAAATTAGAAAGGAAGAAGTCAAATTATCTGTTTGAAGACAACATAATCTTACATTTAGAAAAATCTACAGACCCCACCAAAAAAAAAAAACTGTAGAACCAATAAATTCAGTAAAGTTGCAGGATATAAAATCAACAAACAAAAATTAGTAGCATCTCTATAAATTAATAGTAATCAATCTGAAAAAGAAATCAAGAAAGGAGTCCCATTTACAATAGCTTCAAAAAAATGAAGTACCTAGGAACAAATTTAACCAAAATAGTTAAAGATCTTTATGAACAAAACTATATAACAATGAAGAAAGATATCAAAGAGGACCTACACACACAAACAAAAAGAAAGATATCCCATGCTCATGGGTTAAAAGAATTACTGTTAGAATGTCTATACTACCCAAAATAACCTAAAGAGTCAATGCATTCTCTATTAAAATACCAATAACATTCTTTACAGAAATAGAAAAAGATTCTAAAATGTGTATGGAATGACAAAAGACCTCAATAGCTAAAGCAATCCTGAGCAAAAAGAATAAATCTGGAGGAATCACAGTAATTGTCTTCAAATTATACTACAAAGATACAGTAATCAAAACATCGTGGTGCTGGCATAAAAACAGACATATAGACCAGTGGATCAGAACAGAGAATCCAGAAATACATCCACACACTTATAGCTAACTCATTTGCAACAAAGTTTCAAGATCATATATTAAAGGAAAGGCAGTCTCTTTAATAAATTTTAATAAATTATAAACATTTAATAAATAAAACTGGATATCCATATGCCCACGAATGAAACTAGATCCCCATCTTTCACTATATTAAAAAATCAACTCAAAATAGATTAAAGACTTAAATTTAAGCCCTGAGCTGTTAAACTACTAGAAAAAAGCATTGGGGAATTACTACAGGACATTTGCTGGACTAAGAGATTTTTTGGGTAACACCTCAAAAGTACAGGCAACAAAATCAAAAGTAGGCACATAGGATTACATCAAACTCAAAACAAGAGCATGACCAATATTGTGAAAGAATGAAATTGTTTGCTTACTCTTCTGCACACCAAAAGAAACAATCCTTTTTCACTCTTCTTTGCAGCAAAGGAAAAAATCAACAAAGTGAAGAAAGAATGTACAGAATGTGGGAGAATATTTGCAAACTATACATCTTACAAAGGATTAATACCCAGAATATATATGGAACTCAAGCAATAGCAAATAATAGCAATAATCTAATTTAAAATGGGCAAAAGACCTGAATGCACATTTCTCAAAATAAGGCATACAAATGGCCAAGAGGTATATAAAAAAATGCCAAACATCGTTAGTAATCAAGGAAATGCAAATCAAAATCCCATTGAGATACCATCTCACCCAATTTAGAATGGCTGTTGTCGAAAAGGCAAAGAAGTGACAAAAGTTAGCAAGGATGCCAGAAAATGAGAACACTCATACACTGTTGGTGGAAATGTAAATGAGTATAGCCCTTAAAGAAAACAGTATGGAGGTTTCTCAAAAAAAGTGAAAATACAACTACCATATGATTCAGTAATCCCACTGCCGGGTATTTATCCAAAAGAAAGGAAATCATTATGTCATACAGATATCTGCAGTCCCGTGTTTATTTTAACACTATTCACAGTCAACCTAAGTATCTGTCAATAGATGAATGGATGAAGTATTTGTAGTAGTCTTTGTGGTGTAGGGTTTTGTGTGTTTGCTGGGGCATATCTTCAACATTAAGACAGCCTGCAAGTTGGCCTTAGCCTTTATTTCCTGCTTGCGCAGGCCCTCAGGGTCAGCCAAAAGAGAGAGCTGAGCAATCTCTCAGGTGTTTTCTGGTCATGTGCATGGCTCTGCACATTTGTGTGGTCTTCAAGATCCTTAGGAATATGTCAGAGCTTCTCAAAACCATCTGTGGACAGCTCATTCCCTAAATCATACTGTTATATTATTATTATTTGTAATTATTGAGACAGGGTTTATGAAAGCCCTCATTCCACCACTCCAGAAGTCCCAGCTGTTGCATTTTTGTCTAACCTATGTAAATCACTCCTCAAGATGTCTGTGACTTCATTGCCTCCATATTTCTTATATATCAGAAATTGTGAATCTGAATTTCAACAAGTCAAGTGGGTGACACAAACGAGAAAACTGGGCCTTTGGTAAGGATCTAGGATGTGCTAGTGGGTACCATGGGCCCATTTTGGGGAATGTCGCCTCCTCAGGTCTAGCCCACTAGTCTCCATTTGGAAACAGGGACCAAATACTGCCAGATTTTACAATTTGTCAAAAGAAATCTAGATTTTTATAGAAAGAAAATGTGGGCAATTTTTCTGCATTGGTGAGGCAAAATAGCACACTCCCGTGGGCTGAGCTTCACCAGCAGGTCCTTGGTATTGTATCCCTTATTGAAAGTTGGTGATAATACATACTGGACATTGTCTCTGAATTTTTTTTTGTTTTCTATAGAAAATAGTAAGTCACATGATTTTCTTCATGATAGCTGTCTTCTTTTGTAATGTGAGGAAGCTCTGTTATAAGCCTCATAATAGCATTTTTGTTTCTAGCTCATTTTGAATAAGAAGCAATCTATCCTTCTGGAGCTTTCTGACAGGAGGCATGAATTGCTTCTAGATAACTTCCTCTTCCCCACTTCTGTCTCCAGTCTCTCAATACTATTTGGATGTGCGGTCCTGGGCAAGATTCTGTATGTCTTCATCAACCAAAATTTTACAGGATATAAATCTGGAAGGGGTTAGCAAATGGGAGAAGTTGATCTGATTCTGAAGAGGTCTTGAGTATGAGTTTTTTGTAGTTCTCTGCCATTTTCAGGCAAAGGTCTCCTTTTGGAAATATTCATTGTTCAACTGCAGCCATAACCAAGGCCCATCTCTGTTGCAAAATACAATTAGCAGGGAGGATCAGATTTTTCTTTCTTTCTTTTCTTTTTTTTTTTTTTGTTTTCAGCATTTAAACCATCTCAAACCTGACAGAAATGTTTTCTAGGCCCCTCTCATTTGCTCATTGTAGAGTATGAGAAACTTTGTGCTTTGTTTGCCTAACTCAAAAATGTGGCAATTTGCGCTGAAACTTTGTAAGTATTCTGTAAAGATAAACTGTCAATTTTTTTTTCATGCTAGGCAAAGTTACATGAGGTTATGTCTAGCCTACCTTGCCTATGGTAGGGAATCCTTGTGCATTAATCTTTTTTAATTGTTTTTCCTTCCTGTGGTCTGTACCATTGTTTTTTGTCAAACCTTCTCTAATGCTCTAATAAGGCATTATAAAATGGAAATTACTCCCAGTTCTTTTCTTCATCAGAAAGTTATGCTTTTCTCTCCAGAATGTATAGCTTTAATGCTAAAGTAATATTTCTCTCTGGCTGGCCCAGAATTAAACCCTAAGAAAATATATTGCCAGAAAGTTAAATATAGCTTGGCAGTGTGGCACAATATGCACCCATTCTAAAAGCAGATAGAAATTTATTTTTCAACTTAGTTCTTCTCTCCTAGTACTCACTGGCAAAGATCAGTTGGATGTTAATATCTATTGATTTTGAAATTGGTAGGAAAAGAGAAAATGAAATGTTCGAGGAATAAAAAAGCGAGTTTGAGGAACAAAAATATCTATTTAATTTGTGAACGGGATAATTATAGATTAGATAAAATATCTGCCTTTCTGAACATGAGAGGAGCTAGAAAATGTTCTAACTTCTGGAATTATAAATTGGGTATCTGAAAGATACAGACTGACAAAGAAATATCTTATTCTTCCAAATAAGCACTATTTTCTATGAGAAAACTCAATGTGTCAAGTGAGTAAGAAGACAAACCACAGACTGGGAGAAAATATTTGCAAATGGCACATTTGATAAAGAACTATTATCCAAAATATACAGAGAACTCTTAAAACTCAACAAGAAAAACACGAACAACCTCATTTTAAACTGCACAAAAGATCTGAACAGAAAACTCACCAAAGAAAATATACAGATGGTATATAAGCTTATTAAAATATGCACAACATCCTATATCATTAGGGAATTGCAAATTAAAACAACAGTGAGATACTACTACATGCCTATTAGGATGGCCAAAATCTGGAACTGACATCACCCAGTGCTAGTAAGAATGTGGAATAACAGGAACTCTCATTCATTGCTGCTAGGAATGCAAAATGATGCCTTGGAAGTACCTAACAGGAAAGCTCATTCATTGCTGGTAGGAATGTAAAGTGGTACTTTGGAAGACAGTTTGGCAGTCTCACAGTTTGGCAGTCTCTTAAAACAAAACTAGCTACGCTCTTAACGTACAATTCAGCCATTGTACTTCTTGATATATATCCAAAGGAGTTGAAAATTCCTACAAAAGTTTTGCACATGATTGTGTATAGCAGATTTGTTCATATTTGCCAAAACTTAGAAGCAACCAAGATGTCTCTTACTGGGTGAATTGATAAATAAACTGTGGCACATCCAGGCAATTGAATATTATTCAGTATTAAAAAGAAATGAGCTATCAAGGCATGGAAAGGCATAGAGTAATCTTAAATATATATTACTAAGTGAAAGAAGGCAATCCAAAAAGACTACATATTGTGTAATTCCAACTACATGACTTCTAGAAAAGGCAAAACTATGGCGACATTAAAAAGATCCAGGGTTTAAAGGGAGGGAGGAACGAATAGGCAGAGGACAGAAGATTTTTAGGGCAGCGAAACTAGTGTGTATGTTACTACTGTAGATACATGTCATTATAAATTTGTTCAAATCCATACAATGTACAACACCGAGAGTGAACCCTAATGTAAACAATGAACTTTGGGTGATAATGATGTCAGTATAGGCTCATCAGCTATAATGAATGTACCATTCTGGTGGGGGATATTGATAGTCATGAGGCTCTGGGAAGGGGATAGGTCGGAGGTATATGGAAACTCTGTACTTTCTGCTCAATTTTGCTGTGGACTTAAAACTCTTCTTAAAAGCCTATTAAAAAAAAGCTTGATATGTAGCACTAGGCCATGTTGTTATGTTAATTTTTTAAAGAAAATTATCAAGATTGCAAAAATTATCAAAAAACTTATTTGTATCTTTGTCCCAAATTGATCTGTGTTAAGGTTCAGTGAAAAGTAAAATAGTAAACATAGTTGAGCAAATGGGCAGGAATTATGAGTATATTCTGAATGGTAAAGATACAAATTTCTTCTCCCATGTGGTATTTGAAACGGTTCCTCTTTTCTTTCCATCTTTAAATGTGAAGGCATTCATCATTCTCTTTTATTTCTTCACATTTTCCATCCATGTATTTTTTTATAAAGGTAGTGGTGACAAGAACAAAAGCGTTAATCTATTGGTAGCCTGACGTGGGACAATTAATTAAAGCTTTAGGATCAATTTCTCAAACTTCACACTCAATGGTGGGTTCTCTATATCACTGATGTTTTCAAGGTTTAGACCTGCCTATTTAAAAGGTGTTTTAAAATATGTCCAGCTTCTGGTTATAATTCAGTGTTATCACAATGGGGAAATAATTCTAGATGAGGACATTAAAAAATCTCCTTTGAACACCTAATTTTATTCCTTTAGTTGATCAGAAGCCTGTTAGTAATTTTTTTAATAACTCAGAGGCAGCAGCATTGTATGAAGTTTACAAGACCCCTTACCTGGTTATTTTCTAAGTTAGAATTATACCAGCATGTTTCTTTCTGACCCTAAGATGAAGTACGTTTGCTACTTCTCTCAGACCTGCCCTATCTGTCACTCTGGTTATATTTGAGTCCTGGGGTCTAGGAAGTACATTCCTGATATATTCAGAGTCAGCCAGTCTGTAACAAAGGATGAGATCCTTTCCAAGGTCAAGTGTTTCGATTTCTTGATTTGTTTTCTTCTCCAGAATAAAGAGGATAAAATAGGCTTGAGGAAATTCTAGTCTCTAGGGTTTTACAAACTACCCAGCCTGGGAAGGAAGCATTATTTTTACAATGCTTCCAGACTGGATCACTTTTGCATGATTCAAAATAAGATATTTTTAGACACCTTTATAAAACTTAAACTCTGGTTACGAATTGTCTTCATGTTTATGGGAGGCTTTCTGCTCAATTGTAGTTGAAGTCTTGGTTGTATTTCTCTCATCTGTGATGCAGCTCCTCTGTAAGCGCAGAAGCCTACCGTGGTCAGCACTCAGATACTGGTGCTTTCATGAGAGATTTTTAGCCTCTCCCTGGAATGATACAAGATTTTGCAATTAGTAATGTTATGGCCAAAATCTGCTCATCAAAATAACTACACAAAATCTTGGGTAAATTACTTCCTTAGTATGTTGAGTATCTTTGTTCGTCTATGACTTGTTATATACAATTGCTGATGATCATCCATGGAATAGGTAAGAGCTAGAAAAATACATGGAAATGTTTACCTAGCTCACAAGAGGAAAATGTGGCCAAATGTTTACTAGTTACAAAGTAACTAGCAACTCAATCCTGCACCAGTATTTAAAACTGTTTATAAAATGTTTAAAATTTACAAATGTTTAAATAGAATCATCCAGGGACTAGAAGAGGGAGGAGGAATGTGAGGGGTTTTTTTGGTGAAAAAGACATATTCTTGTTAGTTCTTCACTCTATGAATAAACTACATTATTTTCAAGTATTTCATTTTTAGCATCTGAAATATCCTTTCACCCATGTCACCAAATCTTCTGGTATTTTGAACCAAACACTTTGAGTAACTTGAAGAAAAGTGATGTAGAAACATAAACTTAGCTCCTTTTCCAACTCTTAATATTTTTATCTTGGTTCCTGGTTAGATTCTTGCCCAAAGTGCCTAAAATCCAAGGAAATACCACCGGCCCCCTCCCCCAACATTCTGCTTAAATGTGTTTGCCATTGACCAATTTGTGTATGGTTGAGCCCACTCAGGGCAGTTGCTCCCCTTTCTTCCCCTTGTTTATATGTGTGCTGCTGAGTAGTAGAAATAAATGATGTAATTAAAATGAGGACCATATTATTTTAAATGCTCCTGAGTTAGAACATATATATCATATATTATTTCATTATGCTTGGCTTCATTGGAATTCATAGATATTGTATTTTTATGGATTGAAAAATGGTAGCAGCCCTATGCTGAACAAGTGTATTGGAGCCATTTTTCCAACAGCATGTGCTCACTTCACGTGTCTGGGTCACATTTTGGTAATTCTCGCAATATTTACAATGTTTCCATCATTATTATATTTGCTATGGTGATCTGTGATCAATGATCTTTGATGTAATGATTGTAATTTTGGAGGGATGCCACTAGCTTTGCCCTTATAAGATGACAGTGTTTAAAGGACAAATACATGTGTTCTGACTACTCTACCAACTGGCTATTCTCCTGTCTGTCTGTCTCTCTCTCTCTCTCCTCAAGCCTCCCTTTTACATGAAACAGAATAATATTGAAAGTAGGTCATGTAATAGTCCTACAATGGCCTCTAAGTGTTTAAGTAAAAGGAAGAGTCATATGTCTCTCACTTTAAATCAAAAGCTAGAAATGATTGTTTAGCAAGGAAGGCATGTAGAAAACCTAGACATATTATACCAAAGAGTTAATCAATGTGTAAATACAAAGGAAAATTCTTGAAAAAAATTAAATTGCTACCACACTGAACACCCAAATGATAAGAAAGCAGCAGCTTTATTGCTGAAGTAGAGAAATTTTGAGTGGTCTGGATAGAAGATCAAGCCAGCCACAATGTTTCCTTAAGCCAAGTTAAATTCAGAGAAAGCCCTAACTCTCTTTAATTCTATGAAGGCTGAGACAGGTGGGGAAGCTGAAGAAGAAAAGTGGGAATCTAGCAGAGATTGATTCATGAGACTTAAGGTAAGAAGCCATATACATAAAATAAAAGTGCAAGGTGATGCAGGAAGTTCTAATATAGAAGCTGTAGCAAGTTATGTAGAAGATCTAGCTAAAATTATTGATGAAGGTGGCCATGCTAAATAGTAGATTTTCACTGGAGAAGAAACAACCTTATATTGGAAGATGATCATCTAAGACTTTCACAGCTAGAAAGGGGAAGTCAATGCCTGACTTAGAAGCTTCAAAGGACAGGCTGACTCTCTTGTTAGTGTCTAATGCAGCTGATGACTTTAAGTTGAAGCCAATGCTCATTGACCAAAAATCCTAGCGCCCTTAAGAATAATGCTATATGGACTCTGCCTGTGCTTTATAAGTGGAACTACAAAGCCTAGATGACAACTCATCTGTTTATAGTATGGTTATTGAACATTTTAAGTCCACTGTTGAGACCTACTGCTCAGAGAAAGAGATTCCTTTCAAAATATTACTGTGCATTGACAATGCACCTGTTCACCCAAGAGCTCTGATGGAGGTGCACAAGGAGATTAATGTTGTTTTCATGGCTAATAACACAATATCCATTCTGCAGCCCATGGATCAAGGAGTAATTTTGATTTTCAAGTCTTATTATTTGAAAAACACATTTTGTAAGACTATAGTTGCCATAGATATAGAGAACAATTCCTTTAATGGAAATTAAAAACCTCCTGGAAAGGATTCATCATTCTAAATGACATTAAGAATATTCATAACTCATGGGAGGAGGTCAAAATAGCAACCTTAACAGGAGTGTGGAAGAAATGGATTCCAACCCCTTACTTTGAAGGGTTCAATGTAAAGTCACTAGCTGCATTATTTTCTAGCAACTTGAGTTAAGGAAGTAACTGCAGATGTGATAGAAATAGCAAGAGAACTAGAATTAAAAGTGGGTTCTGAAGACGTGATTGAATTGCTGCAATCTCATGGTAAAACTTGAACTGATGAACAGTTGTTTCTTATGCATGAAAATAGAAAACGGTTTCACGAGGTGGACTCCACTCTTGCTGAAGATACTGTGAACATTGTCAAAATGACAACAAAGGACTTAGAATATTACATAAGTTTAGTTAATAAAGCAAGGACAATTTTTAAGAGGACTCCAATTTTGAAAGAGGTTTTGTTGTGAGTAAATGCTATCAAACAGCATCACATGCTACAGAGAAATTTTTTTGTAAAAGGAAGAGTAACTGAAGATGCTGACTTTATTGTCTTACTTTACTAAATTGCCACAGCCATCCCAAACTTTAGCAAACATCACCCTGATTAGGCAGTAGCCATTGACACTGAGGCAAGGCCCTCTACCAGCAGAAAGATGATGACTCTTTGAAGGCTCAGATGATTGTTAGAATTTTTTAGCAACAAGGAATTTTTAAGTTGTGTGCATTTTTTGAGACATAATTCTATTGCACACTGAAAAGACTACAATATAAACATAACTTTTATATGCACTGGTAAACCAAAAATTATGGTATGACTTGCTTAATAGGGTATTTTGCATAACTGCCATAATCTGCAACTTACCTTCCAATATATCCAAGGTATGCCTGTATAAGAAAAATGTAATATATTTTTTTCAGTTTCTGAGCTCTGGATAGAGGCTTGTTGCTTCAAAAATGTTTGATTTGGATAATGCTAGGGAAAATTACATAGTACATTTCTTTTTAAAGTAGTACTGTTGTTCTCTCCCTTTTTGCTCCCACAGAATATCTCTGTGAATGCAATGGATTTCCTCATTTTCAGCCAACTTTTAAGAATAGAGGTCATTTGCATAACGCTGATGTGTAGTTGCAGTTTTTTCTCTTTGGAGGCACATAGAATTCTCATTCTTTGCACACTGCTTTCTTCTTCCTCTTCTCTCGTCATTCCCAAAGAAGATGGTCTTAATAATTTAGATCAGGGGAGTCTTCACAAGGTAGCCTCCAAAGAGCTGAGAATCGCTATGAAAGAGAACAGAGAGGAAGAAGTGGCTGAGTCTTTTTCTTTAAACTGGAGAAAATAACATCTTGGTGATTTGATGGTAACTCTCTCTCTCATTTATCTACCTAAAGACCCACTACAAGGATCTTTCACTGCCTTGGTCAGGATCTATCAAAGATCCACCTTTTCTTCACATTCAGATAAAAGCATATCACACCTGAAAAATTTGGCCCAGACATGGTTTGGCCATCATCTCTTCAAGAAAACATTTGTCAAACTTTCTAACCAGGCCCTCCTTTGGTCACCCTAGTCCCTGATACATACCTCTGACTTAGATAATATAGTGATATTGAAATGATCCGATATGTTTACTATCTCTGTATTCCCAGTCTGTATTAGTTTGTTCTCATGCTGCTATAAGGACATACCCAAGACTGGGTAATTTATAAAGGAAAGAGCTTTAATTGACTCACAGTTCTACAGGGCTAGGGAGGCCTCAGGCAACTTATAACCATGGTGGAAGGGGAAGCAAACGTGACCTTCTTCACATGGTGGCAGCAAGGAGAAGTGCAGAGCGAGGCTGGGGAAAAGCCCCTTATAAACCATCAGATCTTGCAGATCTTGTGAGCACTCACTCATTATCATGGGAACAGCATGTAGGTAACCGCCCACATGAGGGACCTCCCACCAGGTCCCTCACACAACACATTGGGATTCTGGGAACTACAATTTAAGATGAGATTTGAGCGGAGACACGGCAAAATTACATCGTGGTCCCTAGGATTTTGTGATCTTTAGGCACTGCAGAACTCCAGGGTAACCATTCACATTTGTAGTTATCTTAGATTTGTGTATTTTTCACAACACTTTTCAGGTGGGTGGCAGTAAAACAGCTTGAGGGAGGGGAGGTAATTTGTGTTTCTTAAAATGTCAGCATTAGGGCTGGTGACAGGGTTAATCTTCTTTATTGCTTTGTCCTTAGAGACAGTACAGAGCTTGGCAATGAAAATTAAATTCTAAAAAATGTTTGTAGGATAAATAGATGAATGAACATATTGTGCTCTCAATATGAGGTTTTCTTTTTTTTATTACTATACTTTAAGTTTTAGGGTACATGTGCACAACATGCAGGTTAGTTACATATGTATACATGTGCCATGTTGGTGTGCTGCACCCATTAACTCATCATTTATCATTAAGTATGTCTCCTAATGCTATCCCTCCCCCTCCTGCCACCCTGCAACAGGCCCCGGTGTGTGATGTTCCCCTTCCTGTGTCCATGTGTTCTCATTGTTCAGTTCCCACCTATGAGTGAGAACATGCAGTGTTTGGTATTTTGTCCTTGCAATAGTTTGCTGAGAATGATGGTTTCCAGCTTCATCCATGTCCCTACAAAGGACATGAACTCACCCTTTTTTATGGCTGCATAGTATTCCATGGTGTATATGTGCCACATTTTCTTAATCCAGTCTGTCATTGTTGGACATTTGGGTTGGTTCCAAGTCTTTGCTATTGTGAATAGTGCCGCAATAAACATAACGTGTGCATGTGTCTTTATAGCAGCATGTTTTATGATCCTTTGGGTATATACCCAGTAATGGGATTGCTGGGTCAAATGGTATTTCTAGTTCTAGATCCCTAAGGAATTGCCACATTGACTTCTACGATGGTTGAACTAGTTTACAGTTCCACCAACAGTGTAAAAGTGTTCTTATTTCTCCACATCCCTCCAGCACTTGTTTCCTGACTTTTTAATGATTGCCATTCTAACTGGTGTGAGATGGTATGTCATTGTGGTTTTGATTTGCATTTCTCTGATGGCCAGTGATGATGAGCATTTTTTCATGTGTCTTTTGGCTGCATAAATGTCTTCTTTTGAGAAGTGTCTGTTCATATCCTTCGCCCACTTGTTGATGGGGTCGTTTGTTTTTTTCTTGTAAATTTGTTGGAGTTCATTGTAGATTCCGGATATTTGCCCTTTGTCAGATGAGTAGATTGCAAAAATTTTCTCCCATTCTGTAGGTTGCCTGTTCACTGATGGCAGTTTGTTTTGCTGTGCAGAAGCTCTTTAGTTTAATTAGATCCCATTTGTCAATTTTGGCTTCTGTTGCCATTGCTTTTGGTGTTTTAGACATGAAGTCCTTGCCCGTGCCCATGTCCTGAATGGTATTGCCTAGGTTTTCTTCTAGGGTTTTTATGGTTTTAGATCTAACATTTAAGTCTTTGATCCATCTTGAATTAATTTTTGTATAAGGTGTAAGGAAGGGATCCAGTTTCAGCTTTCTACATATGGCTAGCCAGTTTTCCCAACACCATTTATTAAATAGTGAATCTTTTCCCCATTTCTTGTTTTTGTCAGCTTTGTGAAAGATCAGATGGTTGTAGATATGTGGCATTATTTCTGAGGCCTCTGCTCTGTTCCATTGGTCTATATCTCTGTTTTGGTACCAGTACCATGCTGTTTTGGTTACTGTAGCCTTGTAGTATAGTTTTAAGTCAGGTAGCTTGATGCCTCCAGCTTTGTTCTTTTGGCTTAGGATTGACTTGGCAATGTGGGCTCTTTTGTGGTTCCATATGAACTTTAAAGTAGAATGTGTGGTTTTCAAATCAAATGAAGGTATGCTTTTTTCTGTAGCATTCCAAATCCATCAAACATGTTCTCCTTCTGAATACTTATTTCTCCAAGTGGCTATAAGGGCACAGATCCATTTATAGTTTTCTGCACTTCTGAGTGTGGCTAATAATGTTACATCATCTCAAGCTTTGCCTTTTTTCTTCATATTTATCACATTCCCAGAGCAACAACCCATCTACAACAAACGCCATAACTTGAACTGGCTTCTGTTAAAAACTGATCCAGGTTGGCCTTGAGTTTCTGTCTTAAAATGCTTGGTTGTTAGAACATCAATTATGGTCCGCTTAGACCAATTAAAGCTAGTGCTGTTTTAATTAGTTTCAACAAGATTGATTAAGAGTTAACAACAGAAGCTTTGATGAAGTGAACTCATGGGCAGTATGTTGGCTGTGTTTCTAAAATGGTTCGTGAATTTGAGTATAAACCTACATTTGTTCAAAAGTTCTATCACCTTTTGTTGTACACCTATAAACAGTGGCATTTAATAAAATCAATGTGGTTAAAAATTACACATTAAATACTAAATAGGTGTGTGCATATGATTAGTATAAAAACTTTATTCATTAAAAAAAAATTTTAAGCAAATAAAAAGGTAAAATGACATACCCTGAAGTAATAACTATGCTATTTCTTGTTCTTGGAAAGATAATTATGTTTCATGACAATTTTTTTAAGTACAAAAAAACACATGGTTATTTATAATATAAAATGATAGAAAAAATGTATAAAGAATTAAATAAACTTCTGTTTGACCTCCTCAAGGTAATCCAGTGTGTACTTTGTACTACTAATTTTACTCATTTAAGCTTAAATGCAGATATAGGATTGTTTATAAAAAAAGATTTTTAATGTATATGTTTTTCTGCAGCTGCATTCTTCATTTATTCATATAAAATAGCCCTCTAGAGAGTGAATATACATCTAATTTGTTCTTTTTCTGTCTGCATTATATTCTGCAGAATAAATACATCATAATTTATGTAACCATTTACTTGTTATTGACTATTCAGATTGTTCACCACTATGAATAGTGATTCAATAAATATCCTTTCTTTATATGCTTACAGTTTTTAGCCTGTAAGAAGCTCTGAAGTTGAATATCTGGGAAAAACATACATCCCTGTTCACTGAGGATATGATCTTATATCTATAAAACCTAAAGACTCCACCAAAAAACTCTTAAATTTGATAAATGAATTCAGTAAAGTTTCAGGATACAAATCAATGTATAAAAATCAGTAGCATTTCCATAGACCAATAACAGTCTAGCTGAGAACGAAATCAGGGAGGCAATCTTATTTACAATAGCTACAAAAAATATCTAGGAATATATTTAACCAACAAGGTGAACATTGCCTACAAGGAAAACTGCAAAACACTGATGAAAGAAATTGAACAGGGCACAAATGTAAAAAAAAATCCCATGCCCATGGATTAGAAGAATTAATATCGTAAAAAGGATAATACTACCCAAAGCAATGTAAAGATTGAGTGCTATCTCTATTAAAATACTAATGTCATTTTTCACAGAATTAGAAACAACTATTCTAAAATTCATATGGAACCATAAAAGAACCCGATTAGCCAAAGGAATCCTAAGCAAAAAGAACAAAGCCAGAGGTATCACGTTAGCTGATGTCAAATTATACTAGAAAGCTGTAATAACCCAAACAGCATGGTACTGATATAAAAATAGACATAGAACAATGGAAGAATAGCAAACCCCAAAATAAATCCACCTATCTACAGCAAACTGATCTTTGACAAAATTGACAAGAACATAAACTGAGGAAAGGAAAGTTTCTTTAATAAATGGTGGTGCTGGGAAAATTGGATTGCCATATACAGAAGAATAAAATTGAACTGCCATCCTTCATCATATATGAAAATCATCTCAAGATGGATTAAAGACTTAAATGTAAGACCTGAAACTATAAAATTACTGGGAGAAAACCTAGGGAAAGAACTCTTCTGGACATTGGGCTAGGCAAATAATTCATGGCTAAGACCTCAAAAGCACAAGTAACAAAAACAAAAATAGACAAATGGGACTTAATTAAACTAAAAAGCTCCTGTACAGCAAAGGAAATAACAGAGCGAACAGACAGCCTGCAGAATGGGAGAAGATATTTGCAAACTATGCCCCTGGCAAGGGTCTAATATCCAGAATATACAAATAATTCAAAGAACTCAACAAAATAACCCCAAATAACACCATTAAAAAGTGGGCAAAATATATGAATAGACAGTTTTCAAAAGAAGACATACAAATGACTAACAGTTATATGAAAAAAATTGCTTAACATCACTAATCCTCTGAGGCAAATTAAAACCACATTGAGTATCATCCCAGTGAGAATGGCTATTATAAAAACATAAATAACAGATGTTGGCGAGGATGCAGAGATAAGGGTACTCATACACTGTTGGTGAGAATGTAAATTAGTCCAACTTCTGTGGAACACAGTATGGAGATTCCTCAAAGAACTAAAAATAGAACTACCATTTGATCCAGCAATTTCCCTACTGGGTATCTACTCTAAGGAAAATAAATTATTATTTTACATAGATATCTGCACTTATATGTTATCACAGCACTTTTCACAATAGCAAAGATACGAAATCAACATGTGTCTATCACTGGATGCTTGAATAAAGAAAATGTGGTATATATACACAACAGGATACTATTCAGCCATAAAAAAGAATGAAATTAAGTCTTTCACAGCAACATGGATGGAACTGGAGGCTATTATCTTCAGTGAAGCAAGCCAGATACAGAAAGACAAATATTGTATGTTCTCACTCATAAGTGGAAGCTAAATGCGTATGCAAATACATAGAGTCTGGAATGATAGACTATGGAGACTTGGAAGGGTGAAAGTGTGGGAGGGGGCTGGATGATGAGAATTTACTTAAAGGGTACTATGTACGTTATTTAGGTGATGGATACACTAAAACCCCTGACTTCACCACTAGGAAATCTATGCATGTAATAAAATTCCACTTCTACTCCATAAATTTATACAAAAATAAAATTCAGCTTCATAAAATTTAGTAAATTAATTACAAAATAGTAAATGTTGCACCTGATTCCAAAATATTTTGTATGACATCTAAATACATTATTAGCAAGTAGGTGGTCTCATGCTAAGGAATTCACTGGGTATATTTCTGGTGGTTAATCCTCTGGAAGTGAACTCTATCACAACACTGGGTGTGAAGAAATTCTTAGTTTTAATTATACTAGAATTTTATTTTCATATGAACTAGGGAAAATCAGTATCAAAGCCATTTTATATATTCAGTCATTCACTGCTTAGTGACAGGGATATATTCAGATAAATGCATCATTGGACAATTTTGTCGTGTGAACGCAAATGCAATAAAAACAAAGATAACTAGTTGGGACTTAATTAATCTAAAGAGCTTTTGCATAGAAAAAGGAACAGACTCAGCAGAGTAAACAGACAACCCACAAGATTGGGAGAAATCTTCACACTCTATACACCTGACAAAGGACTAATATCCGGAAACTACAATGAACTCAAACAAGGCAGTAAGAAAAAAAGCAAACAATCCCTTCAAAAAGTGGGCTAAGGACATGAATAGACAATTCTCCAAAGAAGATATACAAATGGCCAACAAACATGTGAAAAAATGCTCAACATCGCTAATGATCAGGGAAATGCAAATCAAAACCACAATGCAGTACTCCCTCACGACTGCAAGAATGGCCATAATCTTTTGCTGTGCAGAAGTTCTTTAGTTTAATTAGATCCCATTTGTCAATTTGGCTTTTATTGCCATTGCTTATGGTGTTTTAGTCATGAAGTCTTTGCCCATGCCTCTGTCCTGAATGGTATTGCCTAGGTTTTCTTCTAGGGTTTTTATGGTTTTAGTCTTTAATCCATCTTGAGTTAATTTTTGTATGAGGTGTAAGGAAGTGGTCCAGTTTCAGTTTTCTGCATGTGGCTAGCCAGTTTTCCCAACACCATTTATTAACTAGGGAATCCTTTCCCCATTACTTGTTTTTGTCAGGTTTGTCAAAGATCAGATAGCGGTATATGTGTGGCATTATTTCTGAGGCCTCTGTTCTGTTCCATTGGTCTATATATCTGTTTTGGTACCAGTACCATGCTGTTTTGGTTACTGTAGCCTTGTAGTATAGTTTGAAGTCAGGTAGTGTCATGCATCCAGCTTTGTTCTTTTGGCTTAGGATTGACTTAGCAATGTGGGCTCTTTTTTGATTCCATATGAAATTTAAAGTAGTTTTTTCTAGTTTGTGAAGAAAGACAATGGTAGCTTGAGGGGGATAGCATTGAATCTATACATTACTTTGGGCAGTACCGCCATTTTCATGATATTGATTTTTCCAATCCATGAGCATGGAATGTTTTTCCATTTGTTTGTGTCGTCTCTTATTGCCTTGAGCAGTGGTTTGTAGTTCTCCTTGAAGAGGTCCTTCACATCCCTTGTAAGTTGTATTCCTAGGTATTTTATCTTCTTTGTGGCAACTGTGAATGGGAGTTCACTCATGATTTGACTGTTTGTCTATTATTGGTGTACAGGAATGATTGTGATTTTTGCACATTGATTTTGCATCCTGAGACTCTGCTGAAGTTGCTTATCAGCTTAAGGAGGTTTTGGTGTGAGACCATGGGGTTTTCTAAATATACAATCATGCCGTCTGCAAACAGAGACAATATGACTTACTTTCTTCCTATTTGAATACCTTTTATTGCTTTCTCTTGCCTGATTGCCCTGGCCAGAACTTCCAATACTAGGTTGAATAGGAGTGGTGGAAGAGGGCATCCTTGTCTTATGCTGGTTTTCAAAGGGAATGCTTCCAGCTTTTGCCCATTCAGTATGATATTGGCTTTGGGTTTGTCATAAATAGTTCTTATTATTTTGATATACATTCCATCAATACCTAGTTTATTGAGAGTTTTTAGCATGAAGAGGTGTTGAATTTTATTGAATTCCTTTTCTGCATCTATTGAGATAATTATTGATAACCAACGGTCATTGGTTCTGTTTATGTGATGGATTACGTTTATTGATTTGCGTATGTTGAACCAGCCTTGCATCCCAGGGATGAAGCCCACTTGATCATGGTGGATAAGCTTTTTGCTGTGCTGCTGGATTCGGTTTGCCAGTATTTTATTTAGGATTTTCGCATCAATGTTCATCAGGGTTATTGGCCTGAAATTTTCTTTTATTGTTGTGTCTCTGCCAGGTTTTGATATCAGCATGATGCTGGCCTCATAAAATGAGTTAGGGAGCAGTTCCTCTTTTTCTATTGTTTGGAATAGTTTCAGAAGGAATGGCATCAGCTCCACCTCGTACCTCTGATAAAATTCGGCTATGAGTCCATCTGGTCCTGGGCAGGCAACCTAGAGAGTGGGAGAAAATTTTTGCATTCTATCCATCTGACAAAGGGCTAATATCCAGAATCTACAAAGAACTTAAACAAATTTACAAGAAAAAAATAAACAACCCCATCAAAAAGTGGGTGAATGATATGAACAGACACTTCTCAAAAGAAGACATTTATGCAACCAACAAACATGAAAAAAAGCTCATACATCACTGGTCATTAGAGAAATGCAAATCAAAACCACAATGAGATACAATCTCATGCCAGTTAGAATGGCAATAATTAAAAAGTCCAGAAACAACAGATGCTGGAGAGGATGTGGAGAAATAGGAACACTTTTACACTGTTGGCGGGAATGTAAATTAGTTCAACCATTGTGGAAGACAGTGTGGCGACTCCACTAGGGAGGGTAGTCTGCTTTAGTCAGTATACCTATTTAATATGGTTTGGATGTTTTGTATTCTCCAAATTTCATGTTGAAATGTGACTTCCACTGTTGGAAGTGGGCCTAATAGGAGGTGTTTGGGTCATGGGGGCAGATACCTCATGAATGGCTTGGTGCTGTCCTTGTGGTAATGAGTGAATTCTCACTCTGAGTTCACATGAGATCTGGTTGTTTAGAGAAGCCTGGCACCTCCTCCCTCTGTGTTTTGCTCTTTCTCTCATCATGTAATGCGTTGGCTCCCCTTCTTCTTCTGCCATGAGTGTAATCTTCCCAGGCCCTCACCAGATGCAGATGCTGGCACTATGCTTCTTGTACAGCCTTCAGAACTGTGACCCAAATAAACCTCTTTTCTTTACAAAATACCCAGCCCCTTGGGTACTTCTTCGTGGCAACACAGACACTATTCAAATGTTAATTTCATCCAAAAACACCCTTACAGACAGATACAAAATAACGTTTAACCAAATATCTGGGTACCCCAGTGGCATTTTGGTCTATTTCCTAGCATTATCACACATTAAGGCCATTGGTATATTTTAGTGCAATAGTTGTATTTCATATAAATTCCTCTATTATATTCAATTAAATGAAGCATTTGAAATAATTTGTTCATTCTACTTTTGATGGACATCTGTTTGGTTTTATTTATTTTTTTTACAATTATGAACAATACTGTCACAATTGACCCAAACTGATCCTCTTTTCTAATTAAGACTGCAGTTATTCCTGCGATATGGTTTGGCTCTGTGTCCTCACCCAAATCTCATCTTGAATTGTAATCCCCACATGTTGAGGGAGGGAAGTGACTGGAACATGGGGGCCATCTCCATGCTTTTCAAGTGATAGTGAATTCTCACCAGATCTGACGGTTTTATAAAGTGTAGTTTTTCCTGCACTTTCACATGCTCTCTCTCTCACCTGCCGCCATGTAAGATGTGCCTGCTTCATTTTCCACCATGATTGTAAGTTTCCTGTGGCCTCCTGAGCCATGTGGAACTATGAGCCAGTTAAGCTTCTTTCCCTTATAAATTACCCAATCTCGGGTATTTCTTTAGAGCAATGTGAAAACGGACTAACGCATCCTGTTAGAGCTTTCCAAAGAATCACAATTGGACCACGTGTGTCTACAGTATGTGGTAAACGTGTTTGCTGAGCTTCATGCTCCCTATAAAGATTTTTATGGAAAAATGGCCCTGACAAGTGCCCTGTAAAAGCAGTTTACATTCTTCCAGCCTGGCAGACTGGAGTCTGAGAAAATATAACTTTCTACAAAAGTGACAACAGCAAAGGGCACTGTGTGATGGGAGGATAATACTGTTTGCAAACCCAATTCAGAAGAGTGAGTAGGCAGAATCATGGAAAGAACTAGGCTTTCTGGTTTGAATATGGGTTCTCCTACTACATAGCTCTGTGTCCTGGAAAATTTATTTCACTTCTCTGAATCATTGTTTCCTCACCTGTAAAAGAGGATCCTATTCTATCTGTCTGCCAGGATGGTTGGAGGAATTAAAGTAATAAATACAGTATTATTGAATATAATATAGTCATATCTTAGTGAAAATAAGTTTTCTACAGAATTATCGCCATCAGCCACTACCTCTGTAAGCAGAATGCAAATCACTTTCCTAGAGATGTTCATTTGTGCTTGCCAGAGAGCATTGCCAGATAGTTTCGAAAATGCTATTCACTATGTCTGGGCCAGTAAGTTTACACATGGTTTTTCAAAGAGGTAAATTATCAAAAGTTGAGGAATTATTAATAACCCTTCTTTAAAAATCATCATTGCCAAAGTGGTTCCAGACTGGGAGAGTTATGGCCACGTGAGCCCCTGGAAAGAGGCTTTCAAAGTTAAAAGGGCTGCCAGTACTTAATCATGTGCCCATTTGTTGCTTCCCTTGCTCTGACAGTGGACATTATATTTAATGGCTAAATAAAAGATCGTTTTTCTTTCCAATCTGACTAGAAAAGAGAAAAGTATGAAGCTAATGCTGTGTTATGCCAAAGGGGGACATGCATCAGGGAAACTGACACATTGAACTTGTAAACTCCAATTTTCCAGCTTTTAATATGTCTAGTGAATGTAATTCTCCAGTCTAGAAATTTGAGGAGTAATTTGCTTACTCTGAAATCAATATATTATTTCTTAAAATGACACAAGTACTGGAATTGTGTTTTCTCATGCAGTTCCTCTGAAACCAGTCAAATTCTCTCTCTAATGCATGATGGTGGTAATTTATTTTGTCATTGTTCTTGCATCTTTTGGGTCCTTTTGAAGGTGAATTAGCAGTTTTGTAAGGTCTTAAATCCTTAGTGGTATTCCAACAGCAGGATCATAATATAGTTCATAGAATACTGGCCTATGGCTGGGCGAGGTGGCTCACCAAGGGGACGTGGATGCTCAGGTGAGAGGATCACCTGAGTCTTGGGAAGTTGAGGCTGAAACTGCAATGAGCCCTGATCACACCACTGCACTCTAGCCTGGAAGACAGTGTGAGAGTGTGTTAAAAAAAAAAAAAAAAAAAAGATTACCAGCCTGCATCTTTTGAACAAATCATGAAAGAATACTTATTGAGCACTTACTATGTGCTATGTGCTCATTTCCTAGATGATGGAAACAATAGTAAGCAAAATATTCCTGCCCCTGTAATCTAATAGAAACATAACAAATGTTAATTAAGTAATCACAAGTCTAAAATTGTAGCCTCTGATAAAAGAAATAAAGGAAAAACACATAAAACACACACAGACATTTGTATACAGTACCCGCATACATAGGAGTTGTTCATTGTGGTGAAAATGACACACTACTTGGAATTAGTTAAAGCTGGCTTGAAATCCTCACTTCTTTTCTTGTTGGCTATGTAATCTTGGACATATCAACTAACTTGTGATTATTTCCTCTTCTGTTATAGTAAGAATTGTGAAAAGTAGATGATACGTAAAATACTTGGCACTATAGATGGCAGAAAATAAGCACTCAATTAAAATTATTAATAATACTGTGAAATTGCTGAAAAATAATACTAACATATTTACAAAGTTATAATTTATTTTATGTAATAGATAAAGGTTTGAAAATTTGAGGTAAAGCACGTTTTTTCTGTGTGCATGTGTAAATTTGGTATTATTGACTTACAGTGTAATTTTAAAGAATATTTGTCTTTTTTACTAATTAATTAAAATATGGCTTTTATCTTCCCATTCCTCCCCTTTTTTGTCTGGTGCTTAATTATCCAGAGTACCAACGTTTCAGTGAAATAAGGAAGTTTTCACTGAGAGTAGAGAATTTTATTGTAATGCAAACTATTAATTTATACCTGCCAGATTTACTTAAAGCAGAGCACAGCACTGCATATCACAATGTTTCTTTTATTGTAAGTTATGATTAAAGCAGTGGCATTGAACATGAATGTGTTTAAAATTTTTGTAGTTTTCTTAGCATGATATAATTTAGGTGAGGGAGATAATATTTTTCTTTCTTCCCTTCAAATGTTGTGATTTTTCTCTCAAAGATTTTAGAAACTATGATTAAAATCTGGAGTAAGAAAGTGAAGAGTATAATGTAGAAGGAAATAAATATGATTTTATGGGAAAAGATCAATAATCAAAGTGATTGCTCCTCGTGAATAATGTGGAAGATGAGTTTCTAAGGATCTGAAAAATAACATACATAAATACAAGTTGGGAAAAATATATATGCAGGTTGGGAAACAGTGTTATCTAAAATATTAATTTTTGTTTGTAATTGAGTATAATAAGTGATTAAAATGGCTGTTAGGGAATACATATTTTTATAAATACATTTTATGTTCATTATTTTTAGTAGCACAATCATTTAATGACAAGGAGTCATTCCTATGTTTATCTTTGTTAGAAAATATTTGTATTACACATAATCTACCTTGTTTTGGTCTACAGGAAGTTTAATATGTTAACAGAATTGAGATAACTGATTGTAGTTTTTAGGCAATCAAGAATATTTCCATGCTTATATGTCATCAGTCTGATCATTAGAAATTTCATTCTAATATTTGATACCCTTGACCCAGGATATTATACTATATACTCAGGAGGCCAGGTAGGCTGAATTCCTAGGAGTGGAATTGCTGGGTTAAAGGTTAAGACGGTCTCTATGGATTTTTTATAGTATATCATCTGTATAATTCCAATAACATCTAAAAGTGAGATATTAAATATCTCTCAGCCTTTGTTTTTCTACAAAAGGAGGATGGTAATGAAAGCACGCATATCTTCATCACAAGACTTTGGAAAATCAAATAATTGACATCAATGATTTTGTAAAGCATTACCCAATATAGGAGTGTTAATTATTGTTCGAAAAGTTATTTACAGTTAGGTCTTCCATTCTTTGGGTCTTTGTGACCTTTGAATGAATCTTTACTACAACATGTATGACACTACTATAGCTGAATGGTCTTTTTTGTGAATTTATCTGCCTATTAGATTCAGAACTGTTTGAAACAAGTATTTCTCTTTTTCTGTATTCATCTTTGCAGTCTCTGAAACTTGTACTGAATGCCTAGCTCCATAAATGTTTGAATAAATTAATGTTAAAGTAGAGGATGGAGGATGTCTGGTGCAACATTCTTGTTTCTGCCATGGCACTGAGATAATGTTGTTCTTTTATTCATTCATTCTTTTACATTCTCCATGCTCCAAAAAGGAGTTATGTAAGATGAGCTACTATTTTCACCTTAGTGACAGAAAAGAAGTTCATAATCAGGGAGTGGTAAGTGTGCTTTAGGAAATTAATAGGAAGATGCTAAGAAGGAAGAAAATATTCTAAGAAGTATTAGTACCATTCTTCTTGTCCAAGATTGCATGGAAACTGAGTATTTATTTCCCAGTGAAACTAGGGCATTCATATTTGACAGTGCATTGTGAATTTATTATTACTGACTTCATAAATTCAGAAATTATTGAAAGGAGTCATGAAGAGTCTAATATAATCTAGGACAGATGAGGAAACGGACACACAACCCCGTGGGCTCATGTCTCATTCAACCTGATGGTAGAACTTAACTTGATTACTCATCTGCTTGCTCCAATTATTCCATCTGATTTGACCTGGTGATTTCTGGATAGTTATTTCTGCCTGTTAAAGTACAGTGATCAGCTATGAGGCCCAGTATGTACTTGTCTAATGTACCAGAGCCTTGAAAAGTGATACCTTCTTAGATGTAAACATACATCTTTTCACCTTTCCCATGGAAAAGAAATAAGAAGAGGAGCAAAAGATGATAGTCATTTCTAGAGAGGCTCCTCTCTGCCAGGCGGTTTCTACCTTGAAAGGCAAAGGAAGAATCATCCAGCGTGTGAGCATAGGAATACCATATAAATCCAGCTCCTTACATCGGGAGTGAAGAGTACAGGGTCCTGATGGCATGTTGCTGATCTCTGGTACATGTCAGTTAGGTGAATATTGGGTTTTGCTCAGAGTTATCAAAGGAGCATAATTCATAAAGCTTGAGAGAAGTTTGCTAACTTTCCAGTTCTGTTTAGTTGAGTTTATAAGACAGAGTGTTTCTTTCTGTACCCCAGGCTGTGCTCTGTGGCTTCTGCCTTTGTTTCTGTCCACTGAGGGGCAGGGTGGAGAGTGAGTGTTCTGTAACAGTCATCAGATGAAAAATTGGCTTGCACTTAGTTCAAGGACGTCTCAGGTGCACTCGTGAGTCGTCAGTGGACAGCATTTGAGACAGGGTTCTCAAGAGGAAAACATCACACAATGTTCCATTATTTATCTGTTGGGAATCCACTTGTTATCTATTGGGCTTAACTGCTTTTTAAGAGCCAGATAGCTTCAGCTTGTGATAAAATTCCTCTCACGTGGATCTACAAAAGACACTGGAGTATGAAGTGACAAGTGAAATCATCTTACCAGCTTGCAGTGAGGATGGTCTCATTCATAGACCTCTCAGACACGGTGGTAATTGTTTGCAATTATGAAGTGCAGTGGTAGATTGCATCTTCCCTGGGTTCAGGTTCTTTTCCATATGACTGCAGGTTCCTTCCACAAAAATGTGTGCTGTATTTTTCTGCCTCTTAACTTGAATGTCCCATGTGGTTTGCTTTAGTCAACAGAACATTAGTGGGTGAGATGTGATCAAAAGCTTGGGGAGTGTTGTGCATTTGGTCTTGCTCTCTGCCATCAGCATAAGAAACAGCCCATGTTAGACCACTGAGTCTAAGAAGGAGGATGAGAAAGAGATGCAGTTGAGTCACTCCAGCTTAAATTAGCTACCTACAAACCAATACACATGCTTGTGAGCTAAACATTTATTCTATGCCACTGACAAATTATGGTTGCTTTTTACATGATATTATTCTAGTTACAGCTAAGTGATGGGAAAGCATTTCTTTGAATAGAATAACCAGCTAAACTTCTGTTCACTCTGGAACACTTTGGAAGTAAAAGAGATACTATATAAAAATTACATGGGTCGGGTGTAGACTGACCATACATTCTGGCTAGACAGGACAGTCCCAGTTTACAAGTGTTATCTTAAGCATTTGTTCATCCTGACAGAATTCTTGATGTTCCAGAATTAAATAAGTTAAAAATAAATAAACATAGCCCATTTTCATTCATTTTACTTATTTTGTTACAATTTATTCAATGCTTGCTAGGAACAAAGCTGACCTTAGGTGACTTGTACTTGCTTAGGCAAGACAAGAAATGGATAAAACTGTCATCATTGTCTAGACTTATTGACATTTGTAGATTTTGTAATCAGTGTTATTACTTTTTATGGCAACCATGTCTGTGTCAGGTAGAAATTTAAAAATCTGTAGGGGCGTGGCTTGGACTTTCTTATGTCTTAAGTCTGGTCTGCCTTAAATAATAACTTAGTGAGGGGGACTTGCCAACTGTCTTGCATCTCCTAATCAACTCACCCTCCTTGATCTTTTCTTTTTTAATTTCTAACTCCTGTGAATTGGGAAAATGCTTCATTGCAATGAAACAGTGTCCACCAACTGACAAAAGTTCCATAATGAAAATCTGAAAAAATGGCTAACTTGTAGTATCGTTATAGACAAAGGAGATATAAAACTCTCAAAAGAAAAAGGCAGAAACTGTGGAAATCTTTAGTTACACATTTTGAGGTTAATCTCTTGGGAATAACTACTATTCTAAGCAGTGGCGATACACAGACATACATGTCTGTATATATTGAGTGGGTGTGTATCTATGTATCTTGCATCATAAACTCTTACTCCTCTACCCTGGTTTTCTTGTGGTAATCAGACAGCACTACATGGAAATGGGAAGGTTCAGCCTGGGACCTGAAGGCTATTTAATTTTCATACACTTTTACACTGAAGTGAAAACACACATAGAAAAGTACACAAATCAGCTAATTACCACAAAGGAGACATAAGCATGCAACTTCCCAATCTACAAGGCTTCTGGAGGGGGTGTGTCAGTTTGAATCCCCGACCAAACTCTCAAAACACAATTAGGCTTATGCAGCACCAAATTTATTTAGCTTAAAAAAAAGATGCAGATCAAGGACTAACTGCAGCATCATCACAGAGACTTCAGGTGTTCAGATGCAGCTTCTGATGCCCCAAATCACCATACATAGTTGCAGTTTGGTTACAAATTTGATGAAAGGCTGACACAAATGGATTATATCAGCATAAGAAAGCAACCAAGCCTGGGACCTTGAACTTAAATACCTTGTTGTGTATCCCCATTCTTTTGCCTTTAAATTATAAGTTATACAGTGAACAGTCTAATGGCCATTCATACACCAGTGTTCAATATATAGCAGGCCCTGAGAAACCTTTTCTATCTTCAGAGTTGATGTTATAAAGAATAGAATATTGACCCCAGAAGCCCTCCTCATGCCCCTTCTCATTAAAACACAGCTCCTCCTGGTAAGCAGTGTCATGACTTCCATAGGTTATTTTTGAAGTTTATGTAAAACAGTAATATACTGCATACTGTGTTTTGGTTGCCATCTTTTGCTCAGCATCAAGTTTTGGAGCTTCATCAGTGTCATTGCATGTACCTATGGGGTTTTATTTGATAGCATTTCATTGCATGGTTATACCACAATTTATCCATTCTACTGTTGATATTTGGATTGTTTCTAACTTAAAAGTAGAATAAATAATTTTGCTATGCATATTCTTGCAAACGTTTTTTGGTACATACGTGCATGTATTTTTGTTGCATATAGGCTTAGGAAGGAAATTACTTGGTCCTGAAGCGACAATCATGTTTAACTTACATAGATAATGATGTCTTTTCTGAGGTGGTTGTACCAGTTTATACTCCCAAGAATAAATGTTCTATTGATGTACATGTTCTAAAACATTGGGTGTTGTCAATAATTTTTACTATTGCCACTATTGTTGGTATGTAGTGGTAATATTATTGCATTTTGAAATTCTAGTTCCATGTTGAATCATAAGGTTTAGGAGCTTTCCAAGTATGTATTGTTCATTTGAATATTCTCTTTTGTGGAGTGTCTATGTGTAGGTCTTCTTTATTTTTTTGTATTGCAATGTTGGTCTTTATTATTCATTGGTAAGAAATCCACAAATTCAAAAATTCTTTGTTGTTTATAGTTACAGAAAATGTTCATTCTCCACCCTCTCTTGTCTTTTCATTTCAGTGGTGTGTTTTAATGAATACAATTTTTCTTGAATAGTTTAATTTAGCTATCTTTCCCTTTATGGGTTGCATTTTAAGTATTCTTTTTATTATTGATTTTGTAATTCAGATTATGAGAATATTCTTTAATATAATCTATGTACTCCATTGTTTTGTTATTTAAAAAAATTGAAAACTGATAGAACAAATAATTCCTTATTGTTCTTCAGGAACACCTTCAATATTCTTGGCCTCTGTAATTTTCATGTAAACTTTAGATAAGCTTGTTATTTTTCTCCCAAAATGACTGTTTAAATTCTAATTGAGATTGCATTCAAACTATAGATCATTTTAAGGAGAAATGACTGACATAATCTTCACAATAATGATTTATCTAATTGATGAACATGAGTAACTCTCCATTTGTGGAAGTCCTTTAAAAATTACTCTTGGCTGGGTGCGGTGGCTCATGCCTGTAACCCCAGCACTTTGGGAGGCCAAGGCGGGCAGATCATGAGGTCAGGAGTTCGAGACCAGCCTGGCCAATATGGTGAAACCCTGTCTCTACTAAAAATATAAAAATTAGCTGGGCATGGTGGCACATGCCTGTAGTCGCAGCTACTCGGGAGGCTGAGGCAGAAGAATCGCTTGAACCCAGGAGGCAGATGCTGCAGTGAGCCAAGATCACGCCACTGCACTCCAGCCTGGGCAACAGAGTGAGGCTCTGTCTCAAAAAAAAAAAAAAATACTCTCAATAATGTTTTTATTTTTTGATTAGAGATCTTATATATGTTTTTATAGATTAATCTTAGGTATTTGATATTTTTGGTACAACTGTAATTTACATCTGTTTTTAAATTTCATTTTCTAATGATTGCTGGCATAGGAAAGCAATTCTTTTTTTTACAGACAGGATCTTGCTATGTTGTCCAGGCTGGTCTCAAATTCTGAGGCTCAAGTGATCCTCCCACCTTGGCCTTTCAAAGTGCTGGGAATGCATGCTTGAGCCACTGCGCCTGTCCTAATTTTTGATATATTGACCTTGAAAGCAGAAATGTTCAACATATTTTTATATATGTAATTATGTCATTTACAAATAACAGTATTGTTTCCTCCACTCTTATTCTTTTACCTTTTTTTCCTTTTTTCTTCCCTTATTACACTGATCATAACCTCCAGTGTAGTATTTAATACAAGTAGCATTAGTGGGTATTACTATAACATTCCTGATGTTTCAAGGAAAACTTTTAACATTTTCTATCAAGTATAATTTTGCTGTAGGTTTCTGTGTGTGCATGCTTTCTTCTTTGACAAATGAAGAAATCTACTTTTGTTCTCAGCTTTCTATTAGTTATTTTTAAAACTAGTGTGAATGAGTGTTTAATTTTATTAAATGCTTTTTATTAGTTGAGATGATCATGGTTTTTCTCCTTTATTCTGTTAATGAGGTGTGAATTACAGTGACTGTTTTCAAACCTTGAACCATTCTTTTTCCTAGAATAAGCCCAAACTCTTCATGATATGTTAATCTTTTTATATATAGCTGAATTCGACATTAAAATATTTTTCACCTATGATTATTATATCAGCCTATGGTTTCCTTTAATATGCTTGACAGGTTTTGGTATCAAGGTTATGCAAACCTCATAAGATGAACAAGGACATTTTTCCTTTTATTCTAGTGTGTAGAAAAATTTAAGCCTGGTGATAATTTTTTTCTTGAATATTTGGTGAACTAACTGATAAAGCCATCTTGATCTGGATTTTTTTCATTGATATGCTGTTAATTTTAGATCTAATTTTCTAATAGTTATAGGGCATTTAGTGTTTTTTACATCTTATATCAGTTTTGATAAAATATTTTTTCAAGTAACTTTTTTATTTCGACTGAACACTGATGTGTATTTTTCACAGGAAAATCCTCATAGTATTATCTTATTATCTTTGTGATGTTTGTAATATCTGTCCTAGAACCTCCTTTATCATTCTAGATATTGCTTATCTTTTCTTTTGCTCATATTCCTTAAATCATTTTCACCATGGGTTTATTGATTTGATTAGTTTCTAAAAAATCTTTTAACTTTGACTCTCTTCTTTGTAATTTTCTTTCCTATTTCTCTCTACTCCTATCTATATTACTTCTTGCCTTTGTTTATCATTAATCCTTAAGTTTGTTTTGCATTCCTTTGTCTAATTTAATAGGATAGCTGCTGGTAGTGTTCATTTTATGGCCTTATTTTAAATAATAGCTATTAATATATGAAAACAATGTAAGGCAATAAATGATAACTTATGATTCCATTTCTAAGAAACTTTAGCTGCCTCCTACAAATTTTGCTCTTTTTCTAATCTTAATTCATTTCACATATGTTTGGTTTCTATTATTTCTTTTTTGATTCCTGGTTTGTTTAACAGTGTTCTGGTTAACCTCCAAAGATTTAGAGATTTTTTTCAGTTACATTTTAAAGAGCTATTTCTAGCTTTATTCCACTATGGTCAGAGCAAAGTCTGTCTGATTCATATCCTTTACCAATTTTAGAGACACTCTTTGTAGACAGCATAAGGTCAATTTTTGTAAATGTTCTGTTTTTACTTACAAATAATACATATTTTTCAGTGATTAATACACTCAATTGTGTCTAGCTTATTCATTTTGTTGGTTAAATCTTTTAAAACATTGTTGAATTATTATTTTTTGGTCTGCTTGATCTTAGAAACTACTGAGAGAAGTGTGTTAGAATCTCTGGTGAAGACTCGTTGAATGGTTTTGACCAAAATTCTGATAGTGGTATAAACAATGAAGTCTAGGCTGAGGAGGTCTCAAATGGAGATGAGGAACTTCTTGGGAGCTGGAGTAAAGGTCACTCTTGCTATGCTTTAGCAAAGAGACTGGAAGGATTTTCCTTTGCCCTAGAGATCTGTGGAACTTTGAACTTGAGAGAGATGATCTGAAATTGAAACTTATGTTCAAAAGAGAAGTAGAGCAAAATATTGTGGAAAATTTGCAGCATGACGATGTGATAGAAATGAAAAACTGATTTTCTGGGGAGAAATTGAAGCCTGCTGCAGAAATTTGCAAAAGTAATGATGACCTGAATGTTAGTAGCCAAGTCAAAGGGGGAAAATGTCTCTAGGGCACGTCAGAGATCTTGGTGGTAAACCCTCCTATCAGAGGTCTGGAGGCCTAGGAAGGAAAAATGGTTTCATGGCCTGGGCTTAGGGCCCCGCTCCCTGCTCTGTGTAGCCTCAGAACGTGGTGCCCTGTGTCCCAGCTGCTTCAGCTCCAGCCATGGCTAAAATGGGCCAAGGTACAGCTCAGCCATTGCTTCAGAGGGTGCAAGCCCCAAGCTTTGGTGGTTTCCATGTGGTGTTGAGCCTGTGGTTGCACAGAAATGAAAAATTGAGGTTTGGGAACCTCCACCTAGATTTCAGAGGATGTATGGAAACAGTTGGATGTCCAGGCAAAAGTTTGCTGCAGGAATGGAGCCCTCATGGAGCACCTCTGGTAGGGAAGTGCAGAAGGGAAATGTGGGGTTGGAACCCCAACATAGAAGCCCCCTGGGGTACTGCCTAGTGGAGTTGTGAGAAGAGGGCCACCATCCTCCAGCCCCCAGAATGGTAGATCCATGAACAGCTTGCGCTGTGCACCTAGAAAAGCTGCAAGCACTCAATGCCAGCCCTTGAAGGAGATGCCCAAGGTCATGGGAGCCCACCCCTTTACATCAGCATGTCCTGGATGTGAGAGGCAAAGGAGGGCATTTTAGAGCTTTAATATTTAATGACTGTTCCACTGGATTTCAGACTTGCATGGGGCCTGTCCCCCTTTTTTGGCCACTTTCTCCCTTTGGAATGGGAACATTTATCCCATGGCTGTACTCCCATTGTATCTTGGAAGTAACTAACTTGTTTTTTATTTTACAGGGTCATAGATGGAAGGGGCTGCCTTGTCTCAGATGAGACTTTGGACTTGGACTTTTGGGTTAATGCTGGAATGAGTTAAGACTTGAGGAATTGTTGGGAAGGAATGATTGGTTTTGAAAACTTGCCTTGTCTTGGATGAGACTTTGCCTTGGACTTTTCAGTTATTGTTGGAATGAGTTAAGACTTTGGTGTATGTTGAGAAGGCATAATTCATTTTGAAATGTATAAAATACATGAGATTTGGGAGGGGCCAGGGGCAGAATGATATGGTTTGGCTCTGTGTCCCCAGACAAATCTCATCTTGAATTTTAATCCCCATGTGTAAGGGAGGGACCTGTAATCCCCCACGTGTTGGTGGAGAGAGGTGATCGGATCATGGGGGCAGTTTCCCCCCTACTGTTCTCGTGATAGTGAGTGAGTTCTCACAAGATCTGATCGTTTTATAAGTATCTGGCATTTCTCCTGCTGGCACTTCTCTCTCTTGCTGCCTTATGAAGAAGGTGCCTGCTTTCCCTTCTGCCATGGTTGTAAGTTTCCTGAGGCCTCCCCAGGTATGTGTAACTGGGAGTCAACATTTTTCCTTTGTAAATTATCAAGTCTTGTGTAGCATCTCTATAAGTGTGTGATAACAGACTAATACAGCAGGTTTGTTATATAGTTAAACTTTAATCATGGGGGTTTGTTGTACAGATTATTTTGTCACCTAGGTATTAATCCTAGTACCCATTTGCTATTTTTCCTGATCATCTCCCTCTTCCCACCCACCACCAACCCTTAAATTGGCCCCAGCATGTGTTGCTCACCTCTATGTGTTCATGTGTTCTCATCATTTAGCTTCCATTTGTAAGTGAGAATATGCAGTATTTGATTTTCTGTTCTTGTGTTGGTTTGCTAAGGATAATGGACTCCAGCTCCATCCATGTTCCTGCAATGGACATGATCTCTTTCTTTTTTATAGCTGCATAGTATTCTGTGATGTATATGTACCACATTTTATTTATCCAGTCTATCATTGATGGGCATTTAGGTTGATTCCATGTCATTGCTATTGTGAATAGTGCTGCAATGAACATACATGTGCATGTGTCTTTATGACAGAAAAATTTATATTCCTTTGGGTGTATACCCAGTAATAAGATTGTGGGTCGAATGGTATTTCTTTTTTCAGGTCTTTGAGTAATCACCACACTATCTTACATAATGGCTGAATTAATTTACACTCCCACCAACAGTGTGTAAGCATTTCTCTTTTTCTACAGCCTCACCAGGATCTGTTACTTTTAGACTTAATAGTAGCCATTCTGACTGTTGGTATCTCATTGTGGTTTTGATTTGCATTTCACTAATGATCAGTGATGCTGAGCTTTCTTTTCTGTGATTGTTACCTGCATGTATGTCATTTTTTGAAAAGTGGCTGTTTATGTCTTTTGCCTAATTTTTAATGGGGTTGTTTTTTCTTGTGCATTTGTTTAAGCTACTTATAGATGCTGGATATTAGACCTTTGTCAGATGCATAATTTGCAAAATTTTTCTCCCGTTCTGTAGGTTCTCTGTTCACTCTGATAATAGTTTCTTTTGCTGTACAGAAGCTCTTTAATTAGATCCCATTTGTCAATTTTTGATTGTTACAATTGCTCTTGGCATCTTCATCATGAAATATTTGCTCATGCCTATGTCCCTAATGGTATTGCCTAGGTTGTTTTCCAGGGTTTTTATAGTTTTGGGGTTTGCATTTTAGTCTTTATCTTGACTTAATTTTTGTATATTGTGTGAGGAAGAGGTCTAGTGTTGGGAACAGGTCCCCCAAAATATGGTCATAAACTGGCCCTAAAACTGGCCATAAACAAAATCTCTGCAGCACTGTGACATGTTCATGATGGCCATAACACCCACTCTGGAAGGTTGTGGGTTTACCAGAATGAGGGCAAGGAACACCTGGCCTGCCCAGGGTGGAAAACAGCTTAAAGGTGTTCTTAAGCCACAAACAATAGCATGAGCGATCTGTGCCTTAAGGACATGCTCCTGCTGCAGTTAACTAGCCCAACCTATTCCTTTAATTCAGCCCATCCCTTCATTTCCCATAAGGGATACTTTTAGTTAATTTAATATCTATAGAAACAATGCTAATGACTGGCTTGCTGTTAATAAATATGTGGGTAAATCTCTGTTCGGGGCTCTCAGCTCTGAAGGCTGTGAGACCCCTGATTTCCCACTTCACACTTCTATATTTCTGGGTGTGTGTCTTTAATTCCTCTAGCAGCGCTGGGTTAGGGTCTCCCAGACCAAGCAGGTCTTGGCAGTCTAGTGTTTCAGTCTTCTGTATATGGCTAGCCAGTTATCCCAGCACCATTTATTGAATGGGGAATCCTTTTTTCACTGCTTGTTTTTGTAAGGTTCGTCAAAAATTGGGTAGTTGTCAATGTGTGGTCTTTTCCTGGGTTATCAGTTCCATTACATTGGTCTATGTGTCTGTTCTGGTACCCGTACCATGCTGTTTTGATTACCATAGCTCTGTAGTATAGTTTGTTGTTGAGTAGCATGCTGCCTCTAGCTTCGTTCTTTCTGCTTAGGATTGCCTTGGCTACTTGGGATCTTTTTTGGTTCCATCAGAATTTTAAAAGAGTTTTTCCAAGTTCTGTGAAGTCTTTAATCCATCTTGAGTAAATTTTTATAAGGTCTAAAGAAGGAGGCCAGTTTCATTTTTCTGCATATGGCTAGCCAGTTTTCCAAGCACCATTTATTAAATAGTGTATCCTTTCCCCATTGCTTATTTTTTGTCTCCTTTGTCAGATATCTGATAGTTTTAGGTGTGTGATCTTATGTCTGGTTTTTCTATTGTGTTCCATTAGTCTATGTCTCTGTTCTTGTACCAGTGTCATGCTGTTTTGGTTACTATAGCCCTGTAGTATAGTTTTAAGTTGGTTAGCATGATGCCTCCAGCTTTGTTCTTGTTGCTTAGGATTGCCTTCGTTACCTTGGGCTCTTTTTTGGTTCCATATGAATCTTAAAATAGTTTTGCCTAGTCCTTTAAAAATGTCATTCATAGTTTAAAAGGCATATCATTAAATCTATAAATAGTTTTGGGCAGTATAGCCATTTTCACAATATTGATTCTTTCTATCCATGAGCATGGAATGTTTTTCCATTTGTTTGGACCATCTCTGATTTCTTTTAGCAGTGTTTTGTAGCTTTCCTTGTGGAGATCTTTCATCTCCATACTTAGACGTGTTCCTAAGGTTTTTGTGTTTCTTGTTGTTGTTGTTGCTGCTGTTCTTTTTGTTTTGTTGCTGGCAATTGCAAATGGGATTGCATTTCTGATTTGGCTCTTGGCTTTACTGTTTTTTGGGGTATAGGAGTGCTAGTGATTTTTACATTGATTTTATATCCTGAGACTTTGGAGAAGTTGCGTATTAGGTTAAGGATCTTTTGAGCCAAGACTATGGGATTTTCTAGATATAGGATCATGTCAACTACAAAGAGGAATAGTTTGACCTCCTCTCTTCCTGTTTGGATGCCCATTATTTTTTTTCTCTTGCCTTATGGCTCTCTCTAGGTTCTAATACTATGTTAATAGTAGTGGTGAGAGAGGGCATTCTTGTCTTGTGCCAGTTTCCAAGGGGAATGCTTCCAGGTTTTGCCCATTCAGTATGATATCAGCTGTGGGTTTTCCATGTATGGCTCTTATTATTTTGAGGCATGTTCCTTCAATATCTAGTTCGTCATGAGTTTTAAAGAGTTTTTAACATGAAGAAGTGTTCAATTTAATGTAAAGTCTTTTCTGCAACTATTAAGATAATTATGTGCTTATTGTCTTTAGTTCTGTTTATGCGATAAATCACATTTATTGATTTGTGCATGTTGAACCAACCTTAAATCCCAGGGATAAAGCCTATTTGATCATGGTAGACAAGTTTTTGATATGCTGTTAGGTTTGGTTTGCCAGTATTTCCTTGATGATTTTTGCATTGATGTTCATTGAGGATATTGACCTGAAGTTGTGTGTGTGTGTGTGTGTGTGTGTGTGTGTGTGTGTGTGTGTGTGTGTGTATGCACATGCACGTGTGTATGTGTGTGTGTGTGTGTGCTTGCCAGGTTTTGGTATCAGGATGATGCTGGCCACACAGAATGCATTAGGGAGGACTTCCTCCTCTTCAATTTTTTTTTTGACTTTAAGTTCTGGGATACCTGTGCAGAACATGCAGGTTTGTTACATAGGTATATGTGTGCCATAGTGGTTTGCTGCACCTATTGACCCATCCTCTAAGTTCCCTCCCCTTGCTCCCCAACCCCCAACAGGCCCTTGTGTGTTGTTCACTTTCCTGTGTCCATGTGTTCTCATTGTTCAACTCCCACTTATGAGTGATAACATGTGGTGGTTGGTTTTCTGTTCCTGTGTTAGTTTGCTGAGGATGATGGCTTCCAGCTTCATCCATGTCCCTGCAAAGGACATGATCTCACTCCTTTTTATGGCTTTGTAGTATTTCGTGATGTATCTGTACCACATTTTCTTTCTCCAGTCTATCATTGACGGGCATTTGGGTTGGCTCCATGACTTTCCTATTGTTAATAGTGTTGCAGTCAACAAACATGTGCATGTGTCTTTATAGTAGAATGATTTATATTCCTTTGGGTATATACCCAGTAATGAGATTGCTAGGTCAAATGGTATTTCTGTTTCTAGATCCTTGAGGAATCCCATACTGTCTTCCACAGTGGTTGAACTAATTTACGTTCCCATCAACAGTGTAAAAGCATTCCTATTTCTCCACAGCCACACCAGTATCTGTTATTTACTGACTTTTTAATAATAGCCATTCTGACTGTAATGAGATGGTATCTCATTATGGTTTTTATTTGCATTTCTCTAATGATCAATGATATTGAGCTCTTTTTCATATGTTTGTTAGCCATGTAAATGTCTTCTTTTGAGAAGTGTCTCTTCATATCTTCTGCTCATTTTTTGATGGGGTTGTTTATTTATTTCTTGTAAATTTGTTTAAGTTGTTTGTAGATTCTGGACATTAGCCCTTTGTCAGATGGGTAGATTGCAAAAATTTTCTCCCATTCTGTATGCTTCCTGTTTACTCTGATGGTAGTTTCTTTTGCTGTGCAGAAGCTCTTTAGTTTAACTAGATCTCATTTGTCACTTTTGGCATTTGTCGCAATTGCTTTAGGCATTTTCGTCATGAAGTCTTTGCCCATGCCTATGTCCTGAATGGCATTGCCTGGGTTTTCTTCTAGGGTTTTTATAGTTTTGGGTTTTACGTTTAAGTCTTTATTCCATCTTGAGTTAATTTTTGTATAAGGTATAAGGAAGAAATCCAGTTTCAGTTTTCTGCATATGGCTAGCCAGTTTTCCCAGCATCATTTATGAAGAGGAGATTCTTTCCACATTGCTTTTGTCAGGCTTGTTGAAGATCAGATGGTTGTAGATGTATGGTGTTATTTCTGAGGTCTCTTTTCTGTTCCATTGGTCTATATGTCTATTTTGGTACCAGAATCATGCTGTTTTGTTTACTGGTGCCTTGTAATATAGTTTGAAGTCAGGTAGTGTGATACCTCCAGCTTCGTTCTTTTTGCTTAGGATTGTCTTGGCTATATGGGGTCTTCTTTGATTCTAAATGAAATTTAAAGTGCTTTTTCTAATTATTTGAAGAAAGTCAATGGTAGTGTGATGGGAATAGTATTGAATCTGTAAATTACTTTGGGCAGGATGGCCATTTTCACAATATTGATTTTTCCTATCCATGAGGATGGAGTGTTTTTCCATTCGTTTGTGTCCTCTCTGATTTCCTTGAGCAGTGGTTTGTAGTTCTCCTTGAAGAGGTCCTTCATATCTCTTGTTAGCTGTATTCCTAGACATTTTATTCTCTTTGTAGTGATTGTGAATGGGAGTTCATTCATGATTTGGCCGTCTGCATGTCTATTGTTGGTGTAAAGCAAGGCTTGTGATTTTTGCACATTAATTTTGTATCCTGAGACTTTGCTGAAGTTGCTTATAAGTGTAAGGAGCTTTAGGCTGAGATGATGGGATTTTCTAAATATAAAATCATGTCATCTACAAACAGAGACAATTCACATTCCTCTCTTCCTACTTGAATACGCTTTATTTCTTTCTCTTGCCTGATTGCCCTGGGCAAAACTTCCAATAATATGTTGAATAAGAGTGGTGCAAGAGGGCATCCTTGTCTTGTGCTGGTTTTCAAAGGGAACACTTCTAGCTTTTACCCATTCAATATGATATTGGCTGTGGATTTTTCATAAATAGCTCTTATTATTGTGAAATATGTTCCATCAGTACCTAGTTTATTGAGAGTTTTTAACATGAAGCGATATTGAATTTCATCAAAGGCCTTTTCTGCATCTATTGAGATAATCATGTGGTTCTTGTCTTTGGTTCTGTTTATGTGATGGATAACATTTATTGATTTGCATATGTTGAACCAGCTTTGCATCCCAGGGATGAAGCTGACTTGATTGTGGTGGAGAAGATTTTTGTGCTGCTGGATTCAGTCTGCCAGTACTTTACTGAGGATTTTGGCATCAATGTTCATCAGGGATATTGGCCTGGAGTTTTCTTTTTTTGTTATCTTTGCCCAGTTTTGGTATCAGGATGATGCTGGCTTCTTAAAATGAGTCCCTCTTTTTCAGTTGTTTGGAATAGTTTTAGAAAAAATGATACCAGCTACTCTTTGTATTTCTGGTAAAATTAGGCTGTGAATCCATCTGGATCTGTGTTTTTTTTATTGGTAGGCTATTAATTACTGCCTCAATTTCAGAACTTGTTACTCTCTATTCAGGTATTCAACTTCTTGCTGGTTTAGTCTTGGGAGGGTGTATGTGTCCAGGAATTTATCCATTTCTAGATTTTCTAGTTTATTTGTGTAGAGGTGTTTAGAGTATTCTCTGATGGTAGTTTGTATTTTTGTGGGGTCAGTGGTGATATCCCCTTATCATCTTTTATTTATTGTGTCTATTTGATTCTTCTTTATTAGTCTAGCTAGCCATCCATTTTATTAATTTTTTTTTAAAAGCTCCTGGATTCGTTGATTTTTTTGAAGGGTTTTTCATGTCTCTATCTTCTACTGTTCAGCTTTGATCTTAGTTATTTCTGGTGTTTTTGGATTAGTTTGCTCTTTCCTCTCTAGCTCTTTTAATAGGTGATGTTATGGTGTAGATTTGTAATCTTTTAGCTTTCTAATGTGGGCATTTAGTGGTGTAAATTTCCCACTTAACACTGCTTTAGTGGTGTCCCAGAGATTCCGGTACATTGTCTCTTTGTTCTCATGGGTTTCAAAGAAATTCTTGATTCTACATTAAATTCATTATTTACCCAGGAGTCATTGAGGTGCAGGTTGTTCAATTTCCGTGTAATTGTGTGGTTTTGAGTGAATTTCTTAATCCTGAGTTCTAATTTGATTGCATTGTGGTGTGAGAGACTGTTTGTTAGGATTTCAGCTCTTTTGCATTTGCTGAGGAGTGTTTTATTTCCCATTATGTAGTCAATTTTAAAATAAGTGCCATGTGACACTGAGAAGAATGTATAGTCTGTTGGCTTGGGGTGGAGAGTTCTGTAGATATCTATTAGGTCTACTTGATCAAGAGCTGAGTTCAATTCCTGAATAACCTTCTTAATTTTCTTTTTCTCTGAACTGTCTAGTATTGACAGTGGGGTGTTAAAGTCTCCCACTATTATTGTGTGGGAGTCTAAGTCTCTTTGTATGTTTCCAAGAACTGGTTTTATGAATCTGGGTGCTCCTGTATTGTATGCATATATATTCAGAATAGTTAGCTCTTCTTGTTGAATTGTTCCCTTTACCATTATGTAATGCCTTTCTTTGTCTTTTTTGATCTTTGTTGTTTAAAGTCTGTTTTGTCAGAGACTAGTATTGCAACCCCTGCTTTCTTTTGGTTTCCATTTTGTTGGCAAATTTTCCTCCATCTCTTTATTTTGAGCCCATGTGTGTCTTTGCACATGAGGTGGGTCTCCTGAATACAGCACACTGACGGGTCTTGACTCTTTATCCAATTTGCCAATCTGTGTCTTTTAATTTAACTAACAATAAGGTTAGTATTGTTATGTTTGAATTTGATCCTGTCATCATGATGCTGTCTGGTTATTTTGCACACTAGTTGATGTGGTTTCTTCAGAGGGTCATTGGTCTTTGTATTTGGGTGTGTTTTTGCAGTGGTTGGTACCGGTTTTTCCTTTCCATATTTAGTGCTTCATTCAGGAGCTCTTGCAAGGCAGGCCTGGTGGTAACAAAATCCCTCAACATTTGTTTGTCTGGAAAGGATTTTGTTTCTCCTTTGCTTGTGAATGAAACGTAGTTTGGCTGGATATGAAATTCTGGGTTGAAAATGATTTTCTTTAAGAATGTTGAATACTGGCCCCCAATCTCTTCTGGCTTGTAGAGTTTCTGCTGAGAGGTCTGCTGTTAGCCTGATGGGCTTCCCTTTGTAGGTTACCTGGCCTTTCTTTCTGGCTGCCCTTAACAGTTTTTCCTTCATTTTGACCTTGGAGAATCTGATGATTATGTGTTGATTATGTGATGATTATGGGTTGATCTTCTCCTGGAGTATCTTAGTGGTATTCTCTGTATTTTCTGAATTTGCATGTTGGCCTGTCTTGCTAGGTTGGGGAAGTTCTCCTGGATAATATCCTGAAGTGTGTTTTCTACCTTCTTTCCATTATCCCCATCTCCTCCACGTACTCTAATCAATCATAGGTTTGTTCTTTTTGTGAAGTCCCATATTTAGTGGAAGCTTTGTTCGTTCCTTTTTATTCTTTTTTCTCTATTCTTGTCTGCATGTCTTATTTCATTAAGTTGATCTTCAATCTCTGATATCCTTTCTTCTGCTTAATCAATTCAGCTACTGATACTTGTGTATGCTTCACGAAGTTCTCATGCTGTGTTTTTCAGCTCTATCAGATTATTTATGTTCCTCTCTAAACTGATTATTATAGTTAGCAGCTCCTCTAACTTTTTATCAAGTTTCTTAAGTTCTTTGCATTGGGTTACAACATGCTCCTTTACCTCAGCAGAGTTTTTTATTACCCATCTTCTGAAACTTACTTCTATCAATTCATCCATCTCATGCTCCTTCCAGTTCTGCATCCTTGCTAGAGAGGCACTGCAATCATTTGGAGGAGAAGAGGCAGTCTGGCCTTTTGGGTTTTCAGCATTTAATCATTGATTCTTTCTCAGCTTCATGAGTTTGTCTAGTTTTGATCTTTGAGGCTGCTGCTTTGGATGGGCTTTTTGTGGGGACTTTTTTTTGTTGATGCTGTTATGCTTTGTTTTTCTTTCAAGGGTCAGGTCTCTGTTCTGTAGGACTGCTATGGTTTGCTGGGGGTTCACTTCAGGCCCTGTTCATCTGGTTCGCTACTGTGCCTGGAGATGTCACTCAAGGAAGCTGGAGAACAGCAAAGATGGGTGCCTCCTCCTTCTGGGATCTCTGACCTCAAGTAACACCAACCTGATGCCAGTAGGATCATTCCTCTATAGGCTGTCTGACAACCCTTGTCAGTCGGTCTCACCCAGCTGGGTGGCATGGGGAACAGGACCCATTTAATGAAGCACTTGACTGTCTCTTGGTGGAGGGGGTGTGCTTCACTGGTGTGAAACCTACTTGTCTGGAGCTGCCAGGAGGAAAGTCTAAGTCTGCTGGTCCAGAGTGTGTGGCCACCCCTCCCTCTAGGGCTCAGGCCCTTGGAGATCAAGGTTCTGTCCATAAGCCTCTGGCTGGAGTTGGAGTTCCTGCTGGGAAGCCCCACCCAGTGAAGAAGGATGGGTCAGGGTCAGGCCTGTAGAGGCAGTCTGGCCGCAGTCTGCCACAGCCAGTGTTTTGGACTGTGGGGGACACCTCTTGGGACCAAGCCATCCAGCTTCCCTGGCTCCAGCAGGGGAAATGCATGGCCTGGAGCTATAGAGATGAATGCTACCCTTCCCCATTCCAGGGAGCTTAGCATGTTAGGCATTTATGAGCCCCAGTGCTGGCTGCTGCCCCTCCCCCAGGAGCTCAAAGGGCTTAGCAGGCAGCTGCAACTGTGGTGCTGGTCTCCTCTCCTCTCAGGAGCTCAGGAGGCTTAGGCAGGTTCCAGCTAAGAGGCTTTTGAGGATCTGCAGGGCTCCAAGTTTGGGATCCTAGGACCTGCTGACATGGGTTTGTGAGTGGGTTGTAAAGTTCTGTGGAAAAAGCATGGTTTCCCTGGCTGGTTAGCACACTACCTCACTGCCTCCCTTGGCTGGGGGCCGTGGGGTGGGATCTCCCCTGCCCTGTGTGGCTCTCAGATGGGCCACTGTACCACACTGCCCTTGCTTCCTCTCCATGCATCATGCCAGCCACCTAGTCAGTTCTGATGAGAGAACCTGGATACCCTGGTTGCTGGTGAAGGATTCACATGCTAATTATGGTTCTTTTCCATAGGAGCCTCTGACAACTGCTGTTTGTAGTCGGCCATCTTGGCCCTGCCCCTTCTCCTTAACATTTATGGAATAGTTTCAACAGGAATTGTATCATGTCGTCATTGTACATCAGGTAGAACATAGCTGTGAGGTCTTCTGATTATGAAGTTTTTTTGGTTAGTAGGCTATTTATTACTGCCTCAATTTCAGAACTTGTCATTGGTCTATTCCGTGATTCAGTTTCTTCCTTCTTCAGTTGTAAGAGGGTCTATGTGTCTAGGAATTTATCCACTGCTTCTAGATTTTCTAGTTTACGTGCATAAAGGTGTTCATAATGTTCTCTGGTGTTTGTATTTCTGTGTGATCAGTGGTATTATCCCCCTTGTCACTTCTGATTGTGTTTATTTGAATCTTCTTTTTTTTCTTATTAGTCTAGCTAGTGGTCTATCTATTTTCTTAATTAAAAAAAACTAGCTCCTGGATTCATTGATCTTTTGAATGATTTTGCATGTCTCAGTCTCCTTCAGTTCACCTCTGATTTTGGTTATTTCTTGTCTTCTTCTAGCCTTGGGGTTAGTTTGCTCTTGTTTCTCTATTTCTTTTCATTGTGACCCTAGGTTGTTAAATTGAGATTCTCTAACTTTGATGTGGGCATTTAGTGCTATAAATTTCCCTCTCAACATTGCCTTAGCTGTGTCCCCAGATTCTGGTATGTTGTATCTTTGTTATAGTTACTTTCAAATAATGTCTTGATTTCTGCCTTAATTTCATTGTTTACCCAAAAGTAATTCAAGAGTAGATTATTTCGTTTCCAAGTAATTGTATGGTTTTGAGTAAATTTCTTAGTCCTGATTTCTAATTTGATTATGCTGTGATCTACGAAATAGATTGTTAGGATTTCAGTTTTTTCCATTTAGCTGAATAGTTTTTTTTTTTTTTTTTTTTTTTTGGAGACAGAGTCTCGCTCTGTCACCCAGGCTGGAGTGCAGTGGTGCTGTCTCGGCTCATTGCAAGCTCTGCCTCCTGGGTTAATGCCATTCTCCTGCCTCAGCCTCCAGAGTAGCTGGGACTACAGGCACCCACCACTATGCCCGACTAATTTTTTTTGTATTTTTAGTAGAGATGGAGTTTCACCGTGTTAGCCAGGATGGTCTTGATCTCCTCACCTCGTGATCCACCGGCCTCAGCCTCCCAAAGTACTGGGATTACAGGCATGAGCCACCACACCTGGCCTAGCTGAAGAGAGTTTTATTTCTGATTATGTGATCGATTTTAGAGTATGTGCTGTATGGTGATGAGAAAAATTGTATATCTGTTGTTTCTGGGTGGAGAGTTCTGTAGATGTCTGTCAGGTCTATTTGACCAAGTGTTGAGTTCAGGACCTGATTATATTTGTTAATTTCCTGTCTTGATGATTTGTCTAATATTGTCAATGGAATGTTAAAGTCTCCCACTATTATTGCATGGGGGTCTAAATCTCTTTGAAGGTCTCTAAGAACTTGCTTTCTGAATCTGGGTGTTCATGCATTAGATGCATGTATATTTAGATTGTTAGGTATTGTATAACATGGTCTTCTTTATTTCTATTAAGGCTTTTTGTCTAACAGTATGCCTGTTTACTATAACTATACAAGCTTCCTTTTGTTTCCTTTTGTTTAGTTTTCTTCATGATATTTTTTAACCCTTCTATCTTCATAAGTTCTGTATCTTTATATCTTTGAGATGTCTCTTGAAACTGCACAGAGTTGAGTTTAATATTTTAAACATTATGATTGTGTTAGCATTTGGAAATATAACATCTTGAAATTTACCCTAAATACTGATATGTGTGGTTTTAATTCTACATCCTCACTCTATATTTGATGATGTTCAGCATTTTTCCTCTTTTCTTTGCCTGGATTAATTTTTCGTTACATGCTTTCATCCTCTATTAGCTTATTATTTGTATATAATTTTACTTTTTTTAATAGTTGTCATAGTATTCATCCTTGACTTAATGTTTGCTATAAGTTTGTTTTTCTCTCTTCCCTGAGACTGTAAGAATTCTAAAATTCTTTAAGTCTTTTTACCTCCTTTCTCACTTACACTGTTGTTTAGGAGTGTATATTAAATATATGTTTAAGCCTCACAGTCCATTATTGCTAATGTTTTTGACTTCGAATATTTATTTCAATTTCCTACACGTTTATTCTTTAGGTTGCTCTTCATTTATTGTATCTCTGAGCTTCTCCCTGGGATAATTTTTTTCTTCTGCCTAAGGAAATTCCTGTACTATTTCTTTGATAATAAAGTTCCTGCTTTTATTTTTCTAAAAAGTATTTTCTTTTACATTTATTTTTCTGGGAAAATATTTGCTGGTTTTGGAATATTAGATTGGCAGTTATAGCTTCTGTGATTAATTTTGTTGAACTTAGCTCCAATTCTATTTTCGATTGTTTGAAAGCGAGTTGTCTTTTATTCCTCCAGCTTTTAAAAATAATCACTTTGGAAGTGAACAGACACTTATCAAAAGAAGACATACAGGCAGCCAAAACCCATATAAACAGAAAAGCTCAACATCCCTAATCATTAGAAAAATGCAAAGCAAAACCACAATGAAATACCATGTCACACCAGTCAGAATGGCTACTATTAAAAAGTTAAAAAAAATAAAAGTTGCTGGCAAGGTTGCAGAGAAAAGCAAACTCTTATATACTGTTGATGGGAGTATAAATCAGTTCAACCATTGTAGAAGCAGTGTGGTGATTCCTCAAAGAGCAACAAACAGGACTACCATTAGACCCATCAATCCAACCATTACTGGGTATATACCCAAAGGAAGATAAATCATTCTGCCGTAAAGACACATGCATATGTACATTCATTGCAGCACTATTCACAATAGCAAAGATATGGAATCAACCTAAATGCCCATCACTGGCGGATTGGATAAAGAAAATGTAGTACATATACACCATGGAATGCTATGCAGCCATAAAAAAGAATGAGAACATGTCCTTTGCAGGGTTGTGGATGCAGCTGGAGGCCAGTATCCTCAGCAAACTAATGCAGGAACAGAAAACCAAATGCCATGTGTTCTTATAAGTGGAAGCTAATGATTAGAACACATGGATTCAACGAGGGGAACAACAGACACTGGGGCCTATTGGAGGGTGGTGGATAGGAGGAGGGAAAGGATTAGGAAAAAATAGCTATTGGGTACAGAGCATAGTACCTCAGTGATGAAATAATTGGTACAACAAACCCCCATGACACACATTTACCTATATAACAAACCTGCACATCCTGCACATGTACCCCTAAACTTAAAGTAAAAAAAAAATCACTTAGTTTTTTATTTTGACAACTTTATGTGTTTTAGTGGGTTTTCATTGCATTAATCATGTTTAGAGTTCATACTTTCTTAAAAATTGTAGTGATGTATTTCCTCAGTTTTGTAGAATTCTCAGCCATTAAATTTTAAAATACTGCTTCCATTACATTTTCTTGTATCTCTTTTTTCCTGGGGTTGTAATTACAGATATGTTACATTTTTTTCCCACTGCATTCTTCTTACACTCCTTTCCCTCCTGTTCCTTTTGTCTGTTATATCTTTTTCTGTGCTTTTGGCCTTTTTAAATATTGATCCTTCATTATTGATATTTTCTCTGACCTTTCTTGAAATTCATTAAATTGCCCTTTTGCTCTGTCTAATCTGCTTTTAATTTTATCTCTTTAATATCAGTTATTTTATTTTTCATTTTTAGGATTTTAATGAGTTCTCCTTTCCTATTTTTGGAGAAAATCCCAATCTATTTTTTGAACTTATGTAGTTAACTTAAAATCTATGTCTTATGAGTCTATTATGAAGGTCTCTTATGGGTTTATTTCTATCGTATGTTGTTTTTCTTGGCTTTATAAAATGTTCTCCTCAGTAGCTGGTAATTTTTTAAATTGGGTTCAGGGTACAGTATATGAAAGACTTAGAGATGACGTGAGCATAAAATTTTGTTTTCTGTCTTATCCTTTGCAGAAGATTCATTTTTATTTCTCACAGTCATCAGATCATCTTACCCAATTAGGATTGGAATTGATATGCCTGGGCTTTAGGCTCGTAAACAGGGTTGATTTCTAGTCCACCCCTTTTTGCAAGGTGGTTGATTTCAGGGTTGATTTCTAGTCCACCCCTTTTGGTAAGTCTCCCTCTTCTTCCTTTGTTGCTCTGAAATCACATTCATATTTCTCTTTTGCTTTGACTGTCAAGAGCTCTGAACAGCTTCTCAGTGTCTAAGCAGGCACTTGCAGAACTGGTAGATAACCTGGGTAAAAGCAAGCTCAGTTATCTGGTTTTTCTTTGTCTCCCAGATATTGGCCTGTAATTCTTCACTCTTTCTTTATAAGCTGCCAAGACCAGCTCGGTCAGGGAGACCCTAATCCAGTGGTGCTAGAGGAATTATAGACATACACACAGAAATATAGAGGTGTGAAGTGGGAAATCAGGGATCTCACAACCTTCAGAGCTGACAGCCTCAAACAGAGATTTACCCACATATTTATTAGCAGCAAGCTGGTGATAAGCATTGTTTCTACAGATTATAGATTAACTAAAAGTATTCCTGATGGGAAACAAAGGGATGGGATGAAATAAAGGGATGGATTTGGCTAGTTATCTGCAGTAGGAGCACGTACTTAAGGCACAGATCACTCATGCTATTGTTCGTGGTTTAAGAACACCTTTAAGTGGTTTTCTGCCCTGGGCGGGCCAGCTGTTCCTTGCCCTCATTCTGGTAAACCCACAACCTTCCAGCCTGGGCATCATGACCATCATGAGCATGTCACAGTGCTGCAGAGAATTTGTTTATGGCCAGTTTTGGGGCCAGTTTATGGCCAGATTCTGGGGGGCCTGTTCCCAACTTAAGCTCAGTGATACCTTCGAATGGATGTTCCCTTAAACTTTTATCTAGCTATATTTTCATCAAGAACGTTGATGATAATTCCTTGTCTCCCATTACTGGAACTGGAACTCTGTGTTTAATAGGATATTGCTGGAAAGGACAGTGATCTGAGCATGACATGGAAGAAGTCAAGTTTGGATATGTTGGCAGGACATGGATGACTAACTTGTCTAAAATAGGTCACTCAGTATGGGGATAACAGGAAAAATTAATGTCCATTGAGATCAGATGGTTGGTTGGCCTTATGTTCACAGACAGAAGCTTAGACTTTATTCTTTTGGTGAGTGGTAAAGTACTTGGGATTTTGGAGCAGGGAATGAAATTATTTAAGAGGCATTTTTAAAAGATGAATCTAACAGAATACTGCCCTGCATGCACTGATGTCATAGCATATTATATCTGAGGTCAAGAAGAGAATATAGTCTCACAGAAAGAATATATCATTCTTGGTTCTGGTGTCTTTTCTTGCCCAAGTTTTATTTTATAGAAACTCTAAAACAGGGTAGATTTCTAGTCTCCCTTTTTGGAAAGGTGTCTCCCTCTCTCTGTTGCATGCCTTGCTCCAAACTCAAATTCATAATTCTCTTTTGCTGTGAATGTCAAAAGCTTGGCTCAACTGTTCATGCCTAGGAACAGCTAATTTATTGTACACTTGGATATCAGAAGTAATTTTGGGTGATGGGATATTCTGAATATTTAGATTATGTTAAAAGCCAGTAGTCAATGGGGAGAAAGACCATTTTCTTCCTTAAGAACTGAAAATCTAGGTGGCCCTCAAAATTGGTATATGTCTAAGCTGTAGATCTGATGCTTAGATTCCTGCAGATATCTGCAAAGAGTTTATTTAAGTCATTTTTAAATCATTAAATCTGATGCTTCATGCCTCCCCCTCATGGCAGATTGTAAAGTCATTATTTACATTACACATATTCCTTTCTTCATCGGAGGAACTCCAGTGCTTTGGAACTGAGAATATCAGAGCCATAAGGAGCATTAGAAATCATTTTAGCTCAAATTCCTAAATTTACAGGTCTAGAACTAAAGCCCAGATTACTTATGGGACGTATCGAAAGTCATACAGGTGGCTAGTAGCAGAACTGGCAATGGAACTAGTGTAATTTGGATAGTAGTCTTCAAGAGCATTTTTTATTGCAAAATAAATTTTTGAAGATTTAACAGGTTAAGGGTAACTATGAATACATAAACTAGAAAGTTAAATAGATTGTTAGTTCTGAGACAGGAAAATACCAAATTTTAAAATTTCTGTATAAAATTCTAAGCATATAGATCAAAGATGGAATTCAGGGTACCCCCTAAAATAACCTGTATAATACTATGTTCTGTGCATTTGTCTCTGGTAAAGATACGGTTTTCTTCCAGTTCTCAAAGGAGTCCATGAATTAGAAAAGATTAAGAACTACAATATATAACTTTTTAGATTAGAATTAAAATCTAGCAGTCATTGATTCAGCAATGTTAGTTTAATGCTATCTGCTTGCCAGAAACTTTGTTAAAGGCTGTGCATATAGAAATAAATGATGCAGTTTCCGCCATGAAGGACCTTACATTCTAGCTTTGGAGATAGGTATGTGATGTGACAAGTAAGTGATACAAACTACTATTTGGATTATCTCATTCCCAGTTCAGTTATTTGTATATCAGATCAATATCATTGTGATAGCCTGAATAGAAAATTGGAGTAATTATAGAATTAATCTAATTTTAAGATTTCTATACAGACTTCAACTGATGTGGGTATATCCAACATTATCCAAACATATTTTACCTAAACGCTGCAGAGACCCAGATCTAGTTTCTACATATGGGGCCATGTCTTACCCATTTTTTGATCTGACATCCAGTAGAATGTCAGACATAGAAGGGGTTCCCAATAAAAAGTTGTTAACTTTTGTCAATATTTTCTTTCTTTTTGTAATTTTTTAAATTTTGTACCTACATAGTAGGTATATATATTTATAGGGTACATCTTACTGCCTTACATAAAAATTAGCAAGTCAGTTACTTTTCTCTAGGGATAAGTGAAGAGATTTTTTTTTTCTCCAGGTGGACTATAGCAATAAAGAAGCTGATAGCTTGAATAGTTAATCACAACATTAGAATGGCCATTCACCAAAAATAACTTGTTTGGAAAATTTTTAACTACATCAAGTACAACATTTCTTAAATCAAGTCCACAATGCCAGTAGCTGTCAGTTTGTTTGGGTGGCAAAGTATCCTAAATTGCTAGTTATGTGAAGGTAACAAAAATAATGAAACACTTCTAAGGCTCTTCACTCTTGCTAAAAAATACAATGATGGAATATATAGATAGCAAATGTGAATTTAATAATCAGAGTCTGTGAAATTGCAAAGGATATTTTCTGAATAAAAGTGACATTTTCCTTTATGCTTAAGGGTAAAAAGTACATAGCATAAAAGGTAAAACCTCCACTGATGCTTCTAGTGAAAATAGCTTCTCCAAGAATTGCAGTAGACTCATGATGGTGTTAGTTTACCTCAAACAGAACAGTCTAGCCTGGAGACTCCATCAGAGAATGTGCATAACATACGATGAAAAAAAACATCTGAGGCGGTTCCAAGATGGCCAAATAGGAACAGCTCCAGTCTACAGCTCCCAGTGTGAGTGATGCAGAACAGGTGATTTCTGCATTTCCAACTGAGGTACCAGATTCATCTCACTGGGGCTTGCCAGACAGTGGGTGCAGGACAGTGGGTGCAGCACAGTGAGCATGAGCCAAAGCAGGGCGAGGCATCGCCTCACCCAGGAAATGCAAGGGATCAGGGAATTCCCTTTCATAGCCAAGCAAAGCAGTGACAGACAGCACCTGGAAAATCGGATCACTCCCACCCTAATACTGAGCTTTTCCAATTGTCTTAGCAAACGGCACACCAGGAGATTATATCCCACAGCTGGCCTCAGAGGGTCCCCTTCCCACTGAGCCTTGCTCATTGCTAGCACAGCAGTCTGAGATCGAACTGCAAGGTGGCAGCGAGGCTGGAGGAGGGGCGCCTGCCATTGCTGAGGCTTGAGTAGGTAAACAAAGTGGCTGGGAAGCTCGAACTGGGTGGAGCCCACTGCAGCTCAAGAAGGCCTGCCTGCCTCTGTAGACTACACCTCTGGGGGCAGGACATAGCCAAAGAAAAGGCAGCAGAAACCTCTGCAGACTTAAATGTCCCTGTCTGACAGCTTTGAAGAGAGTAGTGGTTCTCCCAGCACAGTTTGAGATCTGAGAATGGACAGACTGCCTCCTCAAGTGGGTCCCTGACCCCTGAGTAGCCTATCTGGGAGGCACCCCCAGTAGGGGCAGACTCACACCTCACACGGCCAGGTACCCTTCTGAGACGAAACCTCCAGAGGAACGATTGGACAGCAACATTTACTGTTCAGCAATATTCACTGTTCTCCAGCCTCCGCTGCTGATACCCAGGCAAACAGCGTCTGGAGTGGACCTCCAGCAAACTCCAACAGACCTGCAGCTGAGGGTCCTGACTGTTAAAAGGAAAACTAACAAACAGAAAGGACATCCACACCAAAACCCCATCTGTATGTCACCATCATCAAAGACCAAAGGTAGATAAAACCACAAAGATGGGGGGAATAAAAGAACAGAAAAACTGAAAATTCTAAAAATCAGAGCACCTCTTCTCTTCCAAAGGAATGCAGCTCCTCACCTGCAATGGAACAAAGCTGGATAGAGAATGACTTTGACAAGTTGAGAGAAGAAGGCTTCAGATAATCAAACTTCTCCAAGCTAAAGGAGGAAGTTCAAACCCATCACAAAGAAGTTAAAAACCTTGAAAAAAGACTAGACAAATGGCTAACTAGAATAACCAATGCAGAGAAGTCCTTAAAGGACCTGATGGAGCTGAAAACCATGGCACGAGAACTATGTGACAAATGCACATGCTTCAGTAATCAATTCGATCAACTGGAAGAAGGGGTATCAGTGATTGAAGATAAAATCAATGAAATGAAGCAAGAAGAGAAGTTTAGAGAAAAAAGAATAAAAATCAAGGAACAAAGCCTCCAAGAAATATGGGACTATGGGAAAAGACCAAATCTACATCTGATTGGTGTACCTGAAAGTGACAGGGAGAATGGAACCAAGTTGGAAAACATTCTTCAGGATATTGTTCAGGAGAACATCCCCAGCCTAGCAAGACAGGCCAACATTCAAATTCAGGAAATACAGAGAACACCACAAAGATACTCCTTGAGAAGACCAACTCCGAGACACATGATTGTCAGATTCACCAAAGTTGAAATGAAGGAAAAAATGTTAAGTGCAGCCAGAGAGAAAGGTCGGGATACCAACAAAGGGAAGCCCATCAGACTAACAGCTGATCTCTCTGCAGAAACTCTATAAGCAAGAAGACAGTGGGGACCAATATTTAACATTCTTAAAGAAAATAATTTTCAACCCAGAATTTCATACCCAGCCAAACTAAGCTTCATAAATGAAGAAGAAATAAAATACTTTACAGACAAACAAATGCTGAGAGATTTTGTCACCACCAGGCCTTCCCTACAAGAGCTCCTGAAGGAAGCACTCAACATGGAAAGGAACAATTGGTACTAGCCACTGCAAAAACATTCCAAATTGTAAAGACCATTGATGCTAGGAAGAAACTGCATCAACTAACAAGCAAAATAACCAGTTAACATCATAACGACAGGAACAAATTCACACATAACAATATTAACCTTAAATGTAAATGGGCTAAGTGCTCCAATTAAAAGACACAGACTGGCAAATTGGATAAAGAGTCAAGACCCATCAGTGTGCTGTATTCGGGAAACCCATCTCACATGCAGAGACACACATAGGCTCAAAATAAAGGATGGAGGAAGATCTACCAAGCAAATGGGAAACAAAAAAGGCAGGGGTTGCAATCCTAGTCTCGGATAAAACAGACTTTAAACCAACAAAAATCAAAAGAGACAAAGAAGGCCATTACATAATGGTAAAGGGATCAATTCAACAAGAAGAGCTAACTATCCTAAATAAATGTGCACCCAATACAGGAGCACCCAGATTCATAAAGCAAGTCCTTAGAGACTTACAAAGAGACTTAAACTCCCACACAACAATAATGGGAGACTTTAACGCCCCACTGTCAACATTAGACAGATCAATGAGACAGAAAGTTAACAAGGATATCCAGGAATTGAATTCATCTCTGCACCAAGTGGACCTAATAGAAATCTACAGAACTCTCTACCCCAAATCAACAGAATATACATTCTTCTCAGCACCACACTACACTTATTCCAAAATTGACCACATAGTTGGAAGTAAAGCACTCCTCAGCAAATGTAGAAGAACAGAAATTATAACAAACAGTCTCTCATACCACAGTGCAATCAAACTAGAACTCAGGATTGAGAAATTCACTCAAAACCTCTCAACTACATGGAAACTGAACAACCTGCTCCTGAATGACTACTGGGTACATAATGAAATGAAGGCAGAAATAAAGATGTTATGTGAAACCAATGAGAACAAAGACACAACATACCAGAATCTCTGGGACACATTTAAAGCAGTGTGTAGAGGGAAATTTCTAGCACTAAATGCCCACAAGAGAAAGCAGGAAAGATCTAAAATTGACACAGTAACATCACAATTAAAGAACTAGAGAAGCAAGAGCAAACACATTCAAAAGCTAGCAGAAGGCAAGAAATAACTAAGATCAGAGCAGAACTGAAGGAAATAGAGACACAAAAAACCCTTCAAAAAATCCATGAATCTAGGAGCTGGTTTTTTGAAAGGATCAACAAAATTGATAGACTGCTAGCGAGACTAATAAACAAGAAAAGACAGAAGAATCAAATAGACGCAATAAAAATGATAAAGGGGATATCACCACTGATCCCACACAAATACAAACTACCATCAGAGAATAATATAAACACCTCTACACAAATAAACTAGAAAATCTAGAAGAAATGGATAAATTCCTCGACACATACACCTTCCCAAGACTAAACCAGGAAGAAGCTGAATCTCTGAATAGACCAATAACAGACTCTGAAATTGAGGCAATAATTAATAGGTTACCAACCAAAAAAAGTCCAGGGAACAGACAGATTCACAGCCGAATTCTACCAGAGGTACAAGGAGGAGCTGGTACCATTCCTTCTGAAACTATTCCAATCAATAGAAAAAGAGGGAATCCTCCCTAACTCATTTTATGAGGCCAGCATCATCCTGATACCAAAGCCTGGCACAGAGACACACACAAAAAAGGGAATTTTAGACCCATATCCCTGATGAACACTGATGCAAAAATCCTCAATAAAATACTGGCAAACCCGAATTCAGCAGCACATCAAAAAGCTCATCCACCATGATAATGTGGGCTTCATCCCTGGGATGAAAGTCTGGTTCAACATACACAAATCAATAAACGTAATCCAGCATATAGACAGAACCAAAGACAAAAACCACATGATTATCTCAACAGATCCAGAAAAGGCCTTTGACAAAATTCAACAACCCTTCATGCTAAAAACTCTCAATAAATTAGGTATTGATGGGAGGTATCTCAAAATAATAAGAGCTATTTATGACACACCCACAGCCAATATCATACTGAATGGGCAAAAACTGGAAGCATTCCCTTTGAAAACTAGCATAAGACAGGGATGCCCTCTCTCACCACTCCTATTCAACACAGTGTTGGAAGTTCTGGCCAGGGCAATCAGGCAGGAGAAGGAAATAAAGGATATTCAGTTAGGAAAAGAGGAAGTCAAATTGTCCCTGTTTGCAGACGACATGATTTTATATCTAGAAAACCCCATCGTCTTAGCCCAAAATCTCCGTGAGCTGATAAGCAACTTCAGCAAAGTCTCAGGATGCAAAATCAGTGTGCAAAAATCACAAGTGTTCTTATACACCAATAACAGACAAACAGAGAGCCAAATCATGAGTGAACTCCCATTCAGAATTGCTTCAAAGACAATAAAATACCTAGGAATCCAACTTACAAGGTATGTGAAGGACCTCTTCAAGGAGAACTACAAACCACTGCTCAACGAAATAAAAGACGACACAAACAAATGGAAGAACATTCCATGCTCATGGATAGGAAGAATCAATATCGTGAAAATGGCCATACTGCCCAAGGTAATTTACAGATTCAATGGCATCCCCATCAAGCTACCAATGACTTTCTTCACAGAATTGGAAAAAACTACTTTAGAGTTCTTATGGAACCAAAAAAGAGCCCACATTGCCAAGTCAATCCTAAGCCAAAAGAACAAACCTGGAGGCATCACACTTCCTGACTTCAAACTATACTACAAGGCTACAGTAACCAAAACAGCATGGTACTGGTACCAAAGCAGAGATATAGACCAATGCAAAAGAACAGAGCCCTCAGAAATAATACCACACGTCTACAACTATCTGATCTTTGACAAACCTGACAAAAACAAGAAATGGGGAAAAGATTCCCTATTTAAAAAATGGTGCTGGGAAAACTGACTAGCCATATGTAGAAAGCTGAAACTGGATCCCTTCCTTACACCTTATACAAAAATTAATTCAAGATGGATCAAAGACTTAAATGTTAGACCTAAAACCATAAAATCCCTAGAAGAAAACCTAGGCAATACCATTCAGGACATAGGCATGGGCAAGGTCTTCATGTCTATAACACCAAAAGCAATGGCAACAAAAGCTAAAATTGACAAATGGGATCTAATTAAGCTCAAGAGCTTCTGCACAGCAAAAGAAACTACCATCAGAGTGAACAGGCAACCTACAGAATGGGAGAAAATTTTTGCAAGCTACTCATCTGACAAAGGGCTAATATCCAGAATCTACAAAGAACACAAACAAATTTACAAGAAAAAAACAAACAACCCCATCAAAAAGTGGGCAAAGGATATGAGCAGACACTTCTCAAAAGAAGATATTTATGCAGCCAACAGACACATGAAAAAATGCTCATCATCACTGGCCATCAGAGAAATGCAAATCAAAACCACAATGAGATACCATCTCACACCAGTTAGAATGGCAATCATTAAAAAGTCAGGAAACAACAGGTGCTGGAGAGGATGTGGAGTAATAGGAACACTTTTACACTGTTGGTGGGACTGTAAGCTAGTTCAACCGTTGTGGAAACAGTGTGGCGATTCCTCAGGGAGCTAGAACTAGAAATACCATTTGACCCAGCCATCCTATTACTGGGTATATACCTGAAGGAATATAAATCATGCTACTATAAAAACACATGCACACGTATGTTTATTGCGGCACTATTCACAATAGCAAAGACTTGGAACCAACCCAAATGTCCAACAATGATAGACTGGATTAAGAAAATGTGGCACATATACACCATGGAATACTATGCAGCCATAAAAAATGATAAGTTCATGTCCTTTGTAGGGACATGGATGAAGCTGGAAACCGTCATTCTCAGCAAACTATTGCAAGGACAAAAAACCGAACACTGCATGTTCTCACTCATAGGTGGGAATTGAACAATGAGAATACTTGGACACAGGGTGGGGAACATCACACACCAGGGCCTGTTGGGGGTGGGGGGAGGGATAGCATTAGGAGACATATCCATTGTAAATGACGAGTTAATGGGTGCAGCACACCAACATGGTGCATGTATACATATGTAACTAACCTGCATGTTGTGCACATGTACCCTAGAACTTAAAGTATAATAAAAAGATATATATATTAAAAAGAAAAGAAAAAAAACATCTTTGACCTACAAATCTCCATGGCATTTAGGAAAACTAAAAACTAGTACCCTAGTCCCTCCAGCATCATTTAACACCATAAAAGTAAAGGGCAGCTGCTCTGAAATACCTTTAAGAATGAGTCTGGCTCAAATATCCATTGAGTGGTACTAACAGTGAATTCAAGGATGTGTAAGACACAGTCCACTCACTTTTAAGACTGAAAGGCTAGGAGTGGTAAGTTTATTTCCTGTGTTTCACTGGATTGAAATTCAGTGTGGCTACATTTTTAAACATAAAATTTAATAAATTCAAATTTGTATGCAGTAAAATACACCAATTTTAAGTGTATAGTTCTATAAGTTGATACATAAATATACCCATGTAACCACCATCTCAATCAAAACATAGAAAATTTCTGTCACCCAAGAAGTTTCTTTCTTACCCCTTTGCAGCCAGTTCCTCTCCTTTCCCCTCGCCCCAGGCAGCCACTGTTTAATTTTATCACTATGGATTAATTTTGCCTTATATAAATGGAGTTACAATATGAACTCTCTTGTGGCTGGCTTCTATTGCTAAGCCTAATAATTTTTAGATTCATCCACATGTGTATAGTTCATTTCTTTTTCTTGCTAAGTAATATGTTGTTAATATACCAAATATCAATGTATTGCTTTCACCTTTCTTGGGTAAACATTTAACAATGGAACTTCTGGGTTATTTGATAAGTCCATGTCTAATGTTTTAATATCAATATGTTTTTCAAAATAATTCTATTACTTTATATATTTTATTTAGTATTATATATAATGTATATGTATATATGATATAATCCCACCTAATCTGTGACTTGTCTTTTCATTTTATTAATAGTGTCTTTGGAGTGCCAGAAACTGATAAAACCCACTCTATCAATTTTTTAATTGTGTGATTCAAGCCTTTCATGTCCTGTCTGTGAAATCTTTGCCTACCACAAGGTCAGAAAGATTTTACACTATATTTTCTTCTAGAAATAGAACTATGAAGTTCTATTTCTTATGTTTTGGCATATAATCAATATCTAGTTAATTATTATATATGGCATTAGGGAAGGGTCAGTTTTACTTTTTAAATATAGATATTGTTCAGCCCCAGTTTTTGAGAAATTATTCTTTTCTTATTTATCATGGTGCATGTTCATGGATGTACATGTACACATATACAGTATAAATGTTCTCACTGAGTATTTATATATTTTATTGATATATATTTGTAAGCTATGTTCTGTTCTTTGTTTAATATATAATTATGCCAATATCCCAATTACAATTAATCCTTGAAATCAGGTAGTTTGATTCCTCTAGCTCTGTTCTTTGTTTTCAAGGTCATTTTGGTTATACTAGGTCCTTTGCATTTCCATTCACATTTTTTAATCAACGGGTCAATTTCTATAGAAATATTTGCTGGGATTTTAATAGGATAGCATTACATCTATAGTACAATTTAGAAAGAATTAATATCTCAACACAATATTGACTCTTCCAAGGCATGAACATAGTATATTGGCAAAGTTAGGGACTCAAAAAGATTGAATGCCCTGAGCAGTCACACAGTTGATGGCAGAGATGGAGGAAGTCAGACACAGATAACAATGAACACACTGCTGAATACTTTAGACCACTATCCTTAAATGTATACATACCATAATATACCTTCAACTAGTTCATGACTGATTCAAATGTTTGGTCATTTCCTACCTTTCAGAGGGTACTTGTCTTCCTTAGAGTATTTCTCCTTACCTCTTTGAACACATTGTTTCAGTTACAGTGGGAAAATATTTCTTCTTTACACAGCCATGCTATGGTCTCTAATGTTTAAAAGAAGAAAATTAGCCAGGTGTGGTTGCTCATGCCTGTAATCCGAACACTTTGGGAGGCCTAGGTGGGCAGATCACTTGAGGTCGGGAGTTAGAGACAAGCCCGGCCAACATGATGAAACCCCATCTCTACTAAAAACACGAAAAGTAACTGGGCATGGTAGGGCATGCCTGTAATCCCAGCTACTCGGGAGGCTGAAGCAGGACAATTGCTTGAACCCAGGAGACACAGGTTGCAATGAGCCACTGTTCTGCCACTGCACTCCAGCCTGGGCAACAGAGTGAGATTCTGTCTCAAAAAAGAAAAAAGGAAGAAAATCACTTAACAAATGAAAGGTTTAAAAAAACATTGGTATCAATATGTCTCTGCTATGAGCTTAACTTGATTCAAAAATGGATGGACTGGAGAAAGCTGGTAGAACAAATAGTTCAGTGTATCAGTGAAGAGTTTTATTATCTGCATATTTTGCTTTTCCTTTTGATTGAGGGGAATGGATGTAAGGCGATGATGAAATATGGGTTATAAATTCCACAATACAGAAGAGCAACTTCTTCATGGCTGAAATTTTCAGCTTCCACTCAAAGACTTTTTTCTTTAAATCACCTTGTTTATAATGTATTTCTTACATCTTGGAGGATCTTACTCCTTTCTCTTTATTTTCATGGGGCTCTAGTTTAACCCCTGAAAAAAAAAGTGTGACTTCTCTGGTTTGAAAGCAACTTAACAAATCAAGTGGTTTCTCTGGGCCTCTGCTTTAATATGATACAATAATTCTTAAGTTTGATTGAAAATGAAAATAAGTAAATATGCTACCAAATGATCCTGAGCCTTTCTGCTGTTCCTTTACATAACATAACACTGCAATACATGAATACAACATAAACAAACACAGACCTGACTCCCACGGCTTGGAAGATTCATGGAGTTTTCTACAAGAAGGTCTTCTCCAGGGGAAGAATGAGGCAGAAAATTAAACAGCTCCACATACAGCAAAATTTCTTAAAAATTCTCTTGAGCCATGCTCCTCACCAAGTCCCATGTGACACAGTGGATTCTGTTTCCCCTTTTCCCCTCCCAACCTTTTATTTCTTCACGCCCGAATATTTTCTTCTCCAGATGCCCCTAGTTCTTTTCTTAGAACCATCTACCCATTCTTGGGGCTTGCCTCTTCATTTCTCTCCATTGCCCTTGGAAGTACAACAATGAACCCAGGCCAAATTGTTTACACGATCCTACTTAGAAGGTGAGGGAGAGTATGTTTATATTTCATTGCTGTTGTCTCCACCACAAAGGTCACGTGGAGTTAACTGATGTTCAGCTCCAGTAGCTCTGTGATACAAGGACTCAGCTACATGCAGTGAATAAGGTTACTGGAACAAAGGAATGATGGGCCTTTTGCTTCTGAAACCCTGGTAGTGTGGGGATCTGTGAAAATACTGGTCTTACAACACCAGGACTCAACTTGTGGTGTTGCTTCTTACAAAATCTATGCCATTGAATATGCTTAACCAACTCGAAACTGCTTTGTCACCTGTAAAACAGTGATCATTTTTGCAACAAATTTTTACCCAGCTCAGCTCCCTGATAGACAGTATGCTTATAGAAATTTGTAGACTGACTTCTCCTGAGGAATCCGGCAATATGATTGGGTAAAGAGACATATTATAAACATAATTATCAGTGTCTCATTAATGTTATTGTAGATGAAAGAACAGATTGTGGGAGAGAAAATGGAGCAACACTCTTTCTGGGTAAACCATAATGTGTTTTGAATTAGTAGTGATATTTGTTCTAGATAACACAAGATGCAGATGTTATTACCAGAAAGGAAGTGTAGTTTTTGTTCAAGAAGCATAAATTCAAATGCCTTTAGGGGTAGACAAGTGATATAAATATGCAAAGTGAAAGGGGGTAGGAGGAATATTAAAGGGCCCTGTGGCAAGTTGGAGAACATGTGCCTGTTTAAAGCTATTTAAATTATTTAAAACTATTCTGATCAAACAAACAAATATTTTGAGGTAAAATAAGATTCTACTGTCTTTTTCTTGACTTTTAAGTTCAGTGATACATGTACAGGTTTGCTGTATAGGTAAACTTGTACCATGGGGATTTGTTTGTACAATTTATTTCATCACCCAGGTATTAAGCCTAGTACTCATTAGTTATCTGTCCTGATCCTCTCCCTCCTCCCATCCTGCACCCTCAAAAAGGCCCCAGTGTGTGTTGTTCCTCTCTATGCATCCATGTGTTCTCATTATTTAGCTCCCACTTATAAGTGAGAACATGCAGTATTTGGTTTTCTGTTCCTACTTTAATTTGCTAAGCATAATGGCTCCATTCTTGCATAGGACATGATCTCATTCTTTTTTATGGCTGCATAGTATTCTATAGTGTATATGTACCACATTTTCTTTATCCAGTCTACTATTGATGGGCATTTAGGTTGATTCCATGTCTTTGTTATTGTGAATAGTGCTGCAGTGAATTTATGTGTGCATGTGTCTTTATGATAGCACAATTTTTGTTCCTTTGCGTATATATCCAGTAATGGGATTGCTGGGCTGAATGGTTATTTCTGTTTATAGCTCTTTGAGGAACAGCCACACTGTCTTTCACAATTGTTGAACTAATTTACACACCCACTGACAGTGTGTAAGTGTTCCTTTTTCTCCACAACCTCACTGGCATCTGTTATTTTTTTGGATTTTTAATAATAGCCATTCTGACTGGCGTATCTCATTGTGGTTTGATTTGCATTTCTTTAATGATCAGTGATGTTGGCTTTTTTTTCAGATGATTGTTGGTCACATGTGAGTCTTCTTTTGAAAAGTGTCTGTTCATGTCCTTTGCCCAAATTGGGTTAGTTTTCTTTTTTTTCTTGTAAATTTGTTTAAGTTCCTTATAGATACTGGATATTAGATCTTTGTTAGATGCGTAATTTGCAAAAATTTTCACCCATTCTGTAGGTTGTCTGTTCACTCTGTTGATACTTTCTTTTGCTTTGCAGAAGCTCTTTACCTTAATTATATCCCATTTGTCACTTTTTGCTTTTGTTGCAATTGCTTTTGGTGTCTTAATCATTAAATCTTTTCCAGTTCCTCTGTCCAGGATGGTATTGCCTAGGTTGTTCTTCCAGGGTTTTTATAGTTTGGGGTTTTACATTTAAGTCTTTAATCCCTCTTGAGTTAATTTTTGTATATGGTATAAGGAAGGTGTCCAGTTTCAATCTTTTGCCTATAATCAGTTATTCCAGCACCATTTATTATTATGAATAATCATAAATAGGGAATTATTTCACCATTGCTTGTTTTCATCTGGTTTGTCAGAAATCTGATGGTTGTAGGTATACAGTCTTGTTTCTGGGTTCTCTATTCTGTTCCATTACTCTCTGTGTCTGCTTTTGTACCAGTACCATGCTGTTTTGGTTAATATAGCCCTATAGTATGTTTTGAAGTCAGGTAGCATGATGCCTCCAGCTTTGTTCTTTTTTCTTAGGATTGCCTTGGCTATTGGGGCCCATTTTTGGTTCCTCATGAATTTTAAAATACTTTTCTCTAGTCCTTTAAGAAATGTCAGTGGTAGTTTAATAGGAATGACATTGAATCTATAAATTGCTTTGGGCCGTATGGCTATTTTAATTATATTGATTCTTCTTATCCATGAGCATGGAATGTTTTTCCATTTGTTTGTGCCATGTCTGATTTACTTGAACAGTGTTTTGTAATTATCCTTGGAGAGATCTTTCACCTCCCTAGTTAGCTGTGTTCCTAAACATTTTATTCTTTTCTTTTTTGTGGCAATTGTGAATGGGAGTTTGTTCGTGATTTGGCTCTCATCTTGACTATCATTGGTTTACAGGAATGCTACTGATTTTTCTACATTGATTTTATATGCTGAGACTTTACTGAAGTTATTTATTAGCCTAAGAAGCTTTTGGGTTGAGGCTATGGGGTTTTCTAGGTTTTCTAGGAAAGTTATCTACAAGTAGGGATAGTTTGACTTCCTCTCTTCCTATTTGAATGCTCTTTATTTCTTCCTCTTGCCTGATTACCTTGGCCAGAACTTCAAACACTATGTTGAATAGGAGTGGTGAGGGAGGGAATCTTTGTCTTGTGCTGGTTTTCAAAGGGAATGCTTTCAGCTTTTGACCATTCAGTATGATGTTGGCTGTGGGTTTGTCATAGGTGGCTCTTGTTATTTTGAGGTATGTTCCTTCAATACCTAGTTTATTGAGAGTTTTTAACATGAGTGGATATTGGATTTTATCAAGAGCCTTTTCTGCCTCTCAACCTCTGACAGTGATAATTTCATGCTTAGTGTGTTTGAGGAAGATAGAGAAATCCAGGCTAGGATGCTTGGGGGTGTAGTGCAGAGGCAGCTAGCAGAGTCAGTGGGAAGCGAAAGGAGAGAGCACTTTTGGAATTAAATGTGAAGAGCTTTCTATATTGATCTTACAAGTTTGGTGTTTATCTTGTAGGCAGTAGGGAAGAAATGAGTTCTTCTATTAGATGGAGTGACATAATAAGGTTTGGTTTTTAGGGTAATTTATTACCCTTGGGAGAGCAAGGAGAGAAGATTTGATGCCTAGAGCTCAGAGACATGTTGCAAAAATCCATGTAGGCACCCATGAGGCCTAAATCAAGAAAGTAACAATGAGTATGACGAGAGAGCATGGTAAAGGGTGAGACCTGGTTAAAGGAAAGACTTCTGATACAGAATGAAGCCTGTCTCCTTGGAGTTCTTTTTGAGAGATAATATGGGTTAAAGCAATTTGTATCCTGTACAAAGTGAGCGGCTATGAGGTGATACTGACTTTTTAGATGGAGCATGGCTGGGTTCAGTGTTGGAGGGCCTGATGCTTTCTTCTTTCATTAGTCACAGCGTCATGATCAGCAGCCTGGGTAAGCAGATTTATGATTAGATCCCTCAGAGGCTGACTTCTCTTCTGCAGATGACAAGCCCTGATGCAAGCCTAAATTCAGCCATTTCATCTCAGTCTTGGTACTCACAACTTCCTTCTGCCACCATAGATGGCTTCTGTGAGCATTCAGCTTTCTTCACTATGAGAACTAAAAAGAGCAGACACTTATATCTGTAGAAATGTTACTCCATGTAAAAAAAATAACACTGATACATCTTACAACTTCTAGCCAGAATATGTTAGGCTGCTGCTATAGCAACCCTAAAAGAAAGTATTCAACAAACCCCTACCTAATCCCCCCCTGGAATCAGAATACCTGACAGTCACCCTCCTAGTGAGGCTGTCTCTCTTACATTACACCCACAAAGTGAAGACCCAAAGCAAAGAAATAGAAAATAACATCTAACAATCTGCTTGTCATTTAGAAAAAGCTCACTGTATAAATGTCATGGAAACAAGCTGTTCTTGCAGAAAGAAAAGAAGAAAACCCTGCCTCACTTGCTTCCCTTTCAATTTTAATCTTCCTAATAAAAGGGTAACACAAAGCAAATGTTAAGTGTTTGAAAGCAAATATCTCTGGAGCTCAGCCGCAGTGTGGTTCAGGCTGCTGGTAGGCTCCAAGCAGCAGGAGCTCCGGATCAAGCTTTCTAAGTGAGGATCAACTAACTGCTCAAGATGCCATCAGGAGAACACTAAGAACTCGAGAGACTGACAGGAGACAATGAGATTTTTCTTCTAATTGGGACCAACGATCCTTGCTAGGATACTAACTTCAAGGCCAATAAATTTCTGTTCAATTAATAAATACTAATGGGCATATAACATGTATAATTCAATATGCTTTGAATTTTTGAGCAATGCCCAGAAAAACACAACACTCTTCTCTGTTTATGAAGAAGAGGTCTTGTCCATTGTCACCTGAAGCAGAAGGCAAGGTATGTTAAGCCCCAAGGTGAGAGCCATGGAAGCAGTCCGAGAGCCCAGAGAAAGAAGCCTTCATTTTCAGCTGAGATTAGTGGGGAAGGCTACGTCGGAATTTGCATTTGAGCTGAGCCCCAGAGGACAGGTAGGATTCTAACAACGTGATTAGGGAAGAAAAAGGGAATCCCAGGGAATACGTTAAGTGAAAGCAAAGGAAACAACATGAAGGACAATATTTGGGGTGAAGTCATGGCAGGCCTTAACTAGCATATAAGCATGGTCCTATCTGGACTGGAGTGGAGACTTAGATGCATTTAGGGTGTGTTTTGTTAGCCAATACACACCCCAGAATCTGCTGATTTGCCTGAGGATTTAAGAGCTTTGTGGGAAAGGAATTTTGTGGGAAAGTGTACTGTGTATACCGAGGGTTGACCTATGTAAATGTGCCTAGTAAAGGGGTTGGAGAGGCCATAAAGAAACTAAATTGTAAAAATAAACTGCAGAGCCTCTGGAAGAAAAACTTCCAAACAGTAAGAAATTAGGCATGAGGCATTAGACTCAGTATAAGGGCCTAAGAGTCAGATTGGAGTGACACATCTGAGACCTCAAAGCTTTGTATCTGTGGAAAGGAGAGGATTGCCAAACTTTTAACCTACAAAACCCTAAAAAGTGACTCCTCTAGGAGAATAATAGTGTAGAGGTTGGTATTTCCTAGTCACTTCAATAGCTCCTGTTAGTGGTAAAGAGGGCAACTGTTATAAAACAACCCACAATAATCTAAGAAAAATATCAGTCATACTTTATGTGGTTGAAGAGGAAAGCAAAGTAGTGGTGGCATCAAGGCAAACAGCAGTTGGCACAAGACTCTCACATATACAGATCCTCCAGAGAGGACTAGGAAGCTGGGGAAGGATCCCTGAAGGAAATGGTTTAGGACCTGAAGTTACCCAATGGGAAAATGCATCAAACTGGAAAACTATAGGTTTAACACTAGGACACACCAAGTGGTAAAGTACCAGGAACATTTTGAGCTATGCCAAAAATTTGTGGTTGATTCTATGGGCAGGTTTTCAAGGTGCATCCTGCAACACACTCAACCTGCAGAGTCTGGGGCTTGAACCAAGGTGTCTCAGATGAGAAGATACTGGGATATGCAGAATATTGAGGAGACTTACAGTAGGCTGGGAAAATGTCATGGCCTGAGTTAGGCAGGTTGGAGGCTATGGGAAAATGAAGCAGGCACTAATAGGAACCATCTCACTGAAGAAATATCAAAGTTAGATAACAGTTGCTTGTTTGGTTGGTCAATTCGGCACGGGTGAGAGAAGAAGCAAGAATGAGTAAATAATTTATATGAAAGTTTAAGAGTCGAGAAAATACAGCATGGCTATTGAATGAATGGGCTTTAGAATTGACTGGATTTGATCGTGCCTGGGTCACTTACCAAAAAAGGACCATGGGCATTAGCCCTCCTAAATGTCTTTTCTAATCTGTAAGAGGGAGAGAATGTCTATATCTTAGGCTTAGCTCTTGGATTAAATGATATATGTTATGTCACAGAGTTAAATGAACATTTGCCATGAAGATGGACCAGTTTGTAAATAAAACTGAAGCATTTGATTTAAATAATAAATTATTTTTGTGTTACAATAGTGATGTCTCTTTATGATCCAAGCCAGAAGTGCTCTAGGATAAGATTTGTGAGATGCTAATGGTTTACTGCAGTATTTCTCAAATTTGAGTAAGGACTGAATTTTTAAATTACCATCAGTATTGAAGTAATTATTATCCTTTTAATGTTACCTAAATGTGTATGAACATAAAACTAGAGATAAGTTCTTTATAGTTCTTTGACAAATATAAATCTAGGGCAAATTTGCAAAATAAGTAAAACTATAAAGCCAGGAAAACTCAAATTATAAGCATTAAGGAAACATGACAAATGATACTGAAATTGCAACAATGGTGTTAGATTTAATAGCAAAATTTTGTGGCCACACATTTGTGTCTGTTTATTTGGCTTTTTGTTTTTACTTTGGAAAAACTCACACAGATGTAATAATTCAGTTATACTTTAGCCTATTCATAAAATTATGTTACTAAGATATTAAAATTTTCAACTAGTTGGCAGTTCAGGAAAATTATAACACACTATAACATACTCTGGCAATAAGAAAACATGATGTATCAGTTTTATTAGTGTTCTGAATAACTGCAGAACTATTTCGTTCATTGAACATCAGATTAATATTGCAGTGATATTGAAATTGACTTTTATTTCTAATCCAATCATTTCTGGAATAAGAAAAAAAAACAAAATTCCTCATTACTAATTTACTATTATTACTGCTAATGAACTAGTCCTCAGGAAAGATAATTTGCAAATAATAACTGCACTTAATATCTTTTAAAATTGTTTTTGCTGTATTTATGCTTTTGCTGACCATGTAAATTCTATTCTGCTCTAACTATTACAAACATTCTTTTATACAGCATCTTTTGCACTTTTCGGACACAATATAGTTGCAAACTCAAATGTAAAAGTGGGCCCTGAAATTATTTGGCAGTTCCCATTTTTAGGGTTGTTTTCCAGATTCGGACAAACTCATGTGGTGAGTACAAAATTCAGCCTGCAGAAATATAATCTCAGTCAGTTTGACGTATCTTAGGATTCAACCAGAGTCATGTTTTAGTTTCAGGGGCCTTCAGGGATAAGTCCTCCGGCATGTGCGTTTGCTTCTTGGAGTAATGATCTAAACTGGAACCTGTTGAACTGGCCACATTTTTGTCTGGGTTTTCTTTTCTTTTCTTTTCTTTTCTTTTCTTTTTTTTTTTGAGATGGAGTTTCGCTTTTGTTGCCAGGCTGGAGTACAATGGTGTGATCTCAGCCCACTCCACTTCCCGGGATCAAACAGTTCTCCTGCCTCAGCCTCCCAAGTAGCTGGGATTACAGGCATCTACCACCTCTCCTGGCTAATTTTTTGTATTTTTAGTAGAGATGGGATTTCACCAGGTTGGCCAGGCTGGTCTCTGTAGGAGATTGGTCAGGATGGTGGGAAAAATTATAGGGAAAGATGCAAACCTTCTGGGAAGGACCAGCTAATTTAGCTGCCTTCAGCTAAATTCTCTTCAGAGCAAAGGGTAGATAACAAGGGAATGTAAAGGAACTTATGTAGATAAATTTGTTTACTTAAGTCTCCAGAAACCTACCTTCAATCATTTGTGTGCAGGACTGCTCTCTACTGGGGGAGGGTGGGTGGGGTTGACAGTGTTAATTACCCACAAATTGTGTTTGCTCTGAGCCTTTGCCATTAAATCAGTACCAAAATAAATATGAGTGTCTCCGGCTTATCGGGGCTGCACTCTTGTTGTTGGTGCTAAGTGGTGCAGTTCCCTAGCCATGCTGTCAGGTAAAATACCTGTGTCTGCATACTTCTTTCATCTGTTGCTCAGCCAGAGTCTGCAGGACAGACTCGGCAGGTCTCGAACTCCTGACCTCTGGTGATTCACCCTCCTCGGCCTCCCAAAGTGCTGGGATTACAGGCATGAGCCACTGAGTCCGGCCTGTCTGGCTTTTCATTTTTCCATATCAGGTACTTGCGTCCTCCATAGTTTATAGCCTCAGGACCTCAGGCCTCCAAACTTTCTGTACCATGTCATTATCTCCTTCACATGGGAAACATTCTACTGCTTCTTCATGAATTTGGCTTTGGAAAGTTTTGCTTGTGTCTGGCACATAGATCATCATGCAACTTCATTGCCAAATGATGGTGTGAAGAACACTGTAAGGTTGTGTCTTTCCATCTGCTTAGACATAACATGCAAACATTGTGTCTGCTTCTGCACTATGACAGATGTGAGCCATCTCCCTGAGTTCTTCCTGAGGATTGGGACACAAGTGTATTCTGTTCTAACTCCAAGTCTATCTAAGGGTACCATTACCTTCTCCCTGCGTCTTAGTCTGCAGTAACACAGATTACAAGTCCCTCTATGGCCCTCTGCAGTAACCTTTATGTCTAACCTTTCTTGGTTTCCATCTAGTTTTTCTCCCACAGATCTTGCAGGGGACTTGAACAAAATCTTATTGTAATTGGTCCAAGTAAACGTGCAGAACAGAGGACATAAATAGAGTTCAATAAAACTAGGACCAGTGTTTTTTTCCTTTTTGCCCGTTCCCCACTTCGTATGGAAGTCCAGCTGACTGTTGATACAATACCATCTATTGAAAAAGTATTCATTTTCCCTACTTCTCCTCAAGGCTACATGTGTTATAAAGCAAATGTCCAAAAATAAGTATCTGCTTCAGGCCTCTCTCTTCTGTTCCTTTGGTTTCTATACCTTTGGCAGTGTCACGCTGTTGTTACTCATTCTACCTTTGTAATAAGTTTTGAGATCAGAAAGTGAAATATCTTAACATTTTTTCCTTTAAAATCGTCTTGGCATTCTTGGCCTTTTGCAGTTCTTTAAAAATGTTTAAGCTATCTTTTCAATGTCCCCGAAAGATCTGCTGGAAGATTGAAAGGGATTATACTGACTTTATAGATCAAATAGATGAGAAATGACATCTTTACATTATGGAATCATCTGATCTATGAATATAATATATCCCTTTGTTTTGGTCTTTTAAAATATCTTTATAATAAATTTCTCTGTAAGAGTCTTTTATATCTTCTATTAAATTTACTCCTAGATATTTGATTTTTTATGCTATTGTAAATTATATCTTTTAAACATTTTTAATTTATAATTATTTTTGCTGATATATAGAATACAATTGATTTTTCTGTATTATCTTTTACCCCTCAAACTTGCACCTCTCTTAATTTTATGATTGATTTGTAAACTGTTTTGAAATATCTGTGTACATGATTAAATTGTATTACAATTATGTTATTACAGAAATACTGTGTTGACAATATTATTTCTTCCTTTTTATTCCTTATAATTAATTTCATTTTTCTCTATTGTTCGATCTAGAACTTCTAGAAAAATGTTGTTCTCCTCAAGATCTTAGGGTGAACTTTCAATATTTTACTGTTAAATAAGATTTCTACTGTAGGTTTTCTGTACATTTCTTTTATTGGATTAAGAAGGTACCTTTTTCTTTCTAGTTTGCCAAAGTTACTCTAATGAATTGGTATTTAATTTATCAAATGTTTTTTATGAGTCTGTTGAAGTTATATATTTTTTATTCTATTAATCTGGTTAATTACTTTGATTGAATTTCAAATTATTTTGATTGAATGTTGAATGATAAACCAGTGTTGCAGTTCTTGAATAAACCCAGATAAATGTATGGATACATACATGCATACATATGTACATACATATATACACAGATTTTTTTGTACCAATGTATTGTTCCTTAATTTTACATTTGCAAAATGTAGGAAGAACGGCTCATAATATTTTTTCCTTATGATAATGCTTTTCAGGTTTTTTTATGGAGATTTTGGCATCCTCATAGAATGAATTGAGAAGCTTTTTTCTATTTCTGTTTTTGTTACTACCTATTTAAATGTTTGGTGGAATTTATTGATAAGTATATCTGATGTAGGAAGTTTCTATGGTGAGGTTTCTGATTATAAATTCATTTAGTAATATAGAACTCTTCATCTTTTCTTTCTACTTTTGTCTGTCTTAGTAAGCTATATTTTTCTAGGAAATTATCTGTTTTATCTAAATTTTCAAATTGATTGCTTATAAATTGTTCATAATATTCCCTTAGTATCTTTTAATGTCTGTGGTATCACGTGTGATGTCTCTTTTATCATTCTTTACATTGTCCGTTTGGTATGGTTTGGTTTTGATCTTCAGCACACCTGCCAAATGTTTATTAATTTTATAAATCTGTTCAAAGAACCAACTTTTCTCCCTGATGATCCTCTATACTTTGTTTTCTTTTTCATTTTTTATGATATGCAGCCTTTCTTATATATGTATTTAAAGTTATACGTTTCCCTCTAAGCATGGCGTTCACTGCATACCACAGTTTTGATGTTGTATTATCATTGTTGGTCAATTCTAAGGAGGTTGCACTTAAATCGAGGCCTAAATGATAAGGAGTTAGCCGTACCCAGACCTGTGTTCTATGTCCGGTAGACAGAGCTTTCAAGCAAAAAGCAACAACTTATGTAAAGACTCTGAGGTCAAAAAAGGGTCAGTGAGGTTCAAGAAGTGCAGGAAGATTAATATTAATGAAGAAAAGAGAAAGATGTTATCTAAAACATAGAGTAGAAGCTGAGAAAATTAATGAACTAGACTATGGATCCAAAGAGAATGCCCAGAATGCTATGCACAGTAATAAAGTGAGGGTAGGGGACATGGAGTATAGAATGAGGATTTCTAATGTAGAAATAATTATAATTCCAGTAAAAGAGACTGGAGAGATGTAGGAAAAACTATATTCAAAAATAAAACATAATTTTTCACAATTATGAAATGTATAATTTCTTAAATTCAGGAAGCATGGTAAGTCTCAAGAAAGATAAATATCTGGACAAATCATAATGAAGTTACAGATCATCATACAATCAGAATTCACAATAAGAAAGGAAAAAATGTATATATTTTAAGAAAACCAATAAAAAGTTCCATTCCAATTATAACAATATAAGCCAAAAGGCACAGACTCTTATCCAGTATGTATAAAAGGACTCTTACAAATCATAAAGAAAATGAGCAATATGTATATGAAAAGGTGTTTCACTTCACTATTGATCAGATAAATGTAAATTAAAACTACATTGAGATACTACTAAACATTGACCAGGATGGCTAATATTAAAAAGACCAACAACATTAAGTATTGCTGATGATGCAGAGCAATTGAAACTCTCAGATATTGGATGTAGGAATACAAATAAGTACAACCACTTTGGAAAACTGGCAATAATTAACTACCAAAGTTGAGTATACTCACATGCCCTATGCCTCATCAATTTCACTCCTGTGTATATATCTAATAGGCATAAATATATCTCCTAAAATATATGTATAAGCATATTCATGGTAATATTATTCTTGTTAGTCAAAATTAAAAACAACAAAAATGAATATTAATGGTAGAAAATATAAGTAATGTGTTGTAAGTATACAGTGAAAATACAGTAATAGAAATGAAAAAAGTCACTGTAACTAGTTTAACATAGATGAATCTCACAGACATAATGTGGTATGCAAAATGCAATACACAAACACATAGAATATAATCTTACATATATAAAGTTCAAAATAAGCTTAAGTAATCTCTGTATTTGTTGTTAGCAGTCAGAATAATGGTTGTCTTTGGGGAGGGGAGGTAAATGTCTGAAGAGGTCATGATAGGAGCATCTGGGGTCCTGGTAAAGTGTGTTGGGCTGTATAATAATTTGTGCACAATGATGCATATATATATATATATGTATATATATATAGTTCATATACAAACATATGGAACTTCAGAAAGCATGTTTAAAATGCTTACAGGTATTTACTTAGTTCACAAAAGGGAAAGTTTAAGTTAAAAATTGAGCTAAGTGCCCAATTTAAAAAGTTTGAAAACGAATACTGTTAAACACCGAAAACTGAGAATGAAAGGAAATATGAATAAAAGAAGAAGTATATATATTAGAAAAGAATAAGCCCAAATAAAGTTTAAGGGAAAAAATGAAATAGCTAAGAGGATTATTTAGTAAAATTTTAAACAGGAACAAAGAAGATGAGTAAGGCAAAAAGTTGGGTCTTTGAAAGACTAATAATACAGATAAACTTTTGGGAATTGTTACCAACGTAAAAAATACAGAGAAAGTACAAATAAGTAATTGTAGAAATTTAAATGAAAGTCATAACAATGGGTGTAGTAGGTTTTTAAAACTATAATAAAAGATAACCTGAGTAACTTTACTCCAATAGAACTGAAAACAGAATAGAATTGTTCTTAGAAAATAAAAGATTTTAAGTGACTCAGCAAAGTGACCTCTTCAATAAACTCATAATTGTTTTAAATCAGTGAGTGAGTGAGTGGTTAAATAGCTTTCCATGGAAAACTATAGGCCAGGTGATTTTCCAGACAAGTTCAAGCAAACTCTCAAGTGATAGTTAATTCCAATTTTGTAAATCTAGAAAGAGAAAATCCTAAATTATGATAAAAAGGACCACTGTAGCACTCAATAGGTACTTTTATGATGCTAGTACAATATAACAAATTAAAATTTTAGGCCATTGTCATGTATGAACACCAAAGCAAAACTCCTAAATAAACTATTAACAAATTAAAATTATCAATAAATATTTACAATATCATAACCAAATTTATACAAATAATGTTTCATAACATGTGAAGAAAGCCTAAAAAATTAGTAAATAAAATGCCACCCAGTAGGGACAAAATGGGCAAAGAAATGAATAGATAATTAACTGAAGAAGAAACCCACATGTCCAATAAACATGAGAAGTTTTTACAACTCAAAATCACTAGGTGATACAACTTCACAGCTATGAGACAGCGAAAGTTAAAAATTGTGTTCATACTAATAGTTGACAACTATATGACACAGTATAAACAATTTTCCCTAGTTGGTAGGTTGTAAATAGGTTCTATTGTTTTGAAGAACAATTCGACCAATTTAGTAAATTTCAAGATGTGCAAATTTAACTGCACAGCAACTCCACTCCCAGGTATATAGAATAGTGCTACTCAAAGTGTGGTCCTCAGGCAAGCTTCATTCTATGAACTGCTGTGACCAGTCCATGAGGAAATGAGCCGCAATATTGAGAGTAGGCTAAAACTTTGATAATAATTTGATATTGCTATGTCATCTATTTTGTATTATACAAAAATATCAGTCTAGGATCAATTGGAAATAAAAATCTGATCTTCCTGATAGTTTTAGAAGCATAGTTCTAGAACTGTTCTCAACATTCTTGTGTGACTTGAGAGAGAGAGGGAATGTTAATAGTTTATGACATACTAGAGTTAATGGAAGATACTCTTTGTGTCTGTAGATAACTCTATGAACTCCTAGACTCCAGTTGGCCAACTTAAAGCTGAAGAGGTGTTACCGCCTCAGCTCAACAATAAGCCAATCATGGCAAAAAGGAACCTGTATACTGTTGTTTGGTGAGCTCTGCCCTAGCAACACTCAACACAAGAAGATGCACAAGAAGATGTGTGCAAGAACTTTCATATCAGTACTGTGTATAACCATGGAAATATCAAAACTGACTTAAATGCCCATCAGCAAAATGAATATACTACAATAAACTATCCAGCTACACACACACACACACACACACCCAAATGAATCTCATAATTTTGCGCCCAAAAGGGAATTATCAGAAAATACATATAGTGAAACATTACATAAAATTTAGACGTATATAAAAACAGAGGATACATGTTATAAAAAGTATAAAGAAAAGCATGAGAAAGAGAAATACTAAGTTCAGGATAATGATAGGGAGGAGAGGGAATGGAGTGAAAAGGAAATGCAATATCCTAGGATTACAAGGGATTTCTTATGTAGTTATAAAGTTTTATTTATCAAGCTGGGTGGTAGGTGGGTGAGTGTATTATGTTTAGATATATCAGTATTATGAGAAATAGTTTATAATAATTTTTAAGAGATGTTGTAGAGTCAAACAATTTGGCAACAGGAGAGTTCTACAGAAACTCCATCACAGAATGATTCAGAGTGGTTGGAGCCTAGGCAAGAGGCAGAGACTTGAGATGTCTTTTTTTTTTTTTTTTTTTTTTAAGGTACGGTCTTGCTCTATCGCCCAGGCTGGAGTGCAGTGGCATGAAATCGGCTCACTGCAACCTCCATCTCCCAGGTTCAAGCGATTCTTGTGCCTCAACCTTGTGTGCACCACCATGCCTGGCTAATTTTTTTTTATTTTTAGTAGTCACAGGGTTTCACCATGTTGGCCAGGCTGGTCTCGAACTCCTGGCCTCAAGTGATGCTCCTGCCTCAGGGTTCCAAAGTGCTGGGATCACAAGTGTGAGCCCCCGTGCCTGGCCTGACATGTGTTGATATGCAAAGAATACAATTGTTAATATTTTCAACCTCTGTCTAAACAATTCTAATGTCAGCAGGCTTATTATATGTAAAGGCAGCCCATTCCATGTTGGAAAACCATGATTTTGAATTAAAAATCTACCTTTTTAGGTCTTACTCCTGATGGTTCTTGTCTACATAGAATGAATCTATTCTTCCCTGCATAAGAGTCTTGCAAGTATATGAAGACAACTATCATGTCTCCCATTAGTTTTCATTCCTCAGGCTAAACTCACTCTGAAAACTTCCTCTTTAACTTAGTGGTTAACCTTGCATCCTATCTCATGGAAAACAGAGACCATCAGATGTGAAACACCTTCTCCCACCTGCACCTCCAAATAAATCTATACCTGCATCTAGCTTTACAACCTTCCTTTCCTGGATGTTGCAAAAAAACATAATCTCTTTATTCAAGGCTAATTCCTTCCTTAGTGTTTTTGAATCCCTTCCTTCCTATTTTCTACTGTTGCCTAAGTTATTTACCTTCTAGTGTGCTTTAAAAAGTTTTTCTGTTTACTTTGTTTTCATTAATGTCAGTAATATCTGAACAAATGTTCTCTGAAAACTCAAATGAAAGTAAAGATCTTCTTTGACCAGTCTGACATTTTCACTTCTTTCCAGAGGTAACTGACATTATATTTTTTAATATCCTCTGTCATAAGTTTTCCATGAATTTGTGCATATGAATATGCATGCAAAGACATGTACAGGTTTATGCTTTAGATATGTGGGCTAATTATTTATTTTCCAACTATTTATAAAAGAAAACTTTAATAGTATTCGTTGGAGAGCTTTCCATGACTGTGTATAGATCTATTTCATTCTTTGTACTTTTGATAAGAACTGCTTTTTAAAAATCTGTCCCCTATTGATGGTCCTTTAGTTTCTTTGTAACTTTTGATATAATTTCAAACTTGCAGGAAAGTGGTAGGAAAAATATAAAGAATTTTTGTATACCTTTCACCTAAATTCACTGATGGTTAACATTTTTCCATATTCCTTTATCAGTTTCTCTTGTTCCCTCTCTATGTCCCCCACCCCTCCATTTCCTGAACCATTTGAGGATAAGTTGAAGACATTATGCTCCTTTATGACAAATTCTTGAATGTGTATTGCATAAGAACAAAGACTTGTCTTTTTTAATCGCAATATAGTTAGCAGAATAAGAAAATTTAAGATTGATACAAAACTATTGCCTAATCTACAAATTCAAATTTTGCCAATTGTCCCTGTAATGTCCCCTAGAGTTGTTTTTCTCCTGGTCCAGAGTCTAATCTAGAAAGATGACTTGCATTTAGTTGTTACTTTGTCTCCTGTAATGTAGACTATTTCTTAAGGCTTTCTTTTCTAACCTTTTTAAAGAACATAGGCTAGTTTATTTTTCAATCAGTTTACTTGTTTTGCTCTATCAATCGGATTGTCCAATATTTTCTCATTATTAGATTCATATTATGCTTTTTGGCAGGAATATCACCTCAGTGATGAGCCTCCTTGTTGCATTGTATCAGGAGGCATATGATATTGGCTGGTACCATTATTGGCAGTATTACTTCATTTCTTTGGTTAAGGTAGTTCTCACTAGGTTTTTCTTTTATTTTTCTTAACAGTAAAATTACCATTAACCCTGTACAATTAGTGAAAAATGTATTGTGAGATCTTTCAAGATGATGTAAATATCTATCCTCTTCCCTATAATCTTTCACCCACTGTAAGAAGAGTTTTCCTTTTTTATTTAAACATGGAAGTATGGATTCTTATTTTATTCAGTGGATAACAAACTATTAATATTACTATTTTTTGATGCCCAAACTGTTCCAGATTTGGCCAGCGAAAGCTTCTTCAGGCTGGCCTTCATGTCCTTTTGATATGTCCTCATCATTTTTGAACATTTCTTACCTTCTGCTTTAGGAAGATGTTCCACGCTAATGTTGAACTTTCTGGTTCTTGTCCTGGACTGAGCTATTTCTCCAAGAATAATGGTCTGAAGAATCCAAGATCTGCTCACTAGGTTTCAGATTTTATTGTTCTCAGTACTTTTTAGCAGACAGAATTAGGAAATGAACACCAATATATGTTCATACAAATTGTTGATGAAAAGAGTCAAACTCTGTAAAATATTTGCAGAGATTTATTCTGAGCCAAATATAAGTGACCATGGCCTGTGACACAGCCCTTAGGAGACCCTGAGACCATGTGCCTAAGATGGTTGGGGTACCGCTTGGTTTTATATATTTTAGGGAGGCATGAGACATCAATCAAATACATTTAAGAAATATATTGGTTTGGTTCAGAAGGGCGGGGCAACTCAAAGCAGCAGGCCAGAGGGGTTTCCAGGCTATAGGTAATTTTAAACATTTTCTGGTTGACAGTTGGTTGAGTTTATCTGAAGACCTGGGATGAATGAAAAGGAATGTTCAGGTTAAGGTAAAGGATTGTGGAAATCAAGTTTTATTGTGCAGAGGAATCTCTCAGACAGCAAACTTCGGAGAGAAAGAGCAGGTTGTAAAATGTTCCTTATCAGACCTAAAAGGATACCTGGCTCTTAGCTGATTATCTCCTGGATCTGGGAAGGAAGGAAGGAAAACAAAGGGGAAAGGGGATTCCTATAGAATGTGGGTTTTTCCCACAAGAGACTTTGCAGGGCAATTTCAAGGTATGGCAACAAAATATATTTTGGGGTAAAACATTTTGATTTTCTTCCTTGTTATGCCACAGTCATATTGGAAAGTAAGTCATGATATACATGGTCAAATAAAACCCATCTGAGGAGAATTTATGGTTTGGAGGGCATGACTCCCCAGACCCCTTACATAGGAATTTGGGCAAGATAAAAAATCAGAGCTTTGTCCTCAAAATCAATCTATCTAGCTTTCTTGCCTTCTCTCTCTTTCTCTCTTTCTTTTCTTTCCTTTCTTTTTGTTTCCTTTTTCTTTCTTTTGTCATTCTGTCTTTCCGTCTTTCTTTTTCTTTTTCTGTCCCTCTCTCTTGTTCTCTCTCTCTTCTTTCTATCTTCCTTTCTTCCCTTTCTTTCCTTTCTCTTGCTCTCTCTCTCTCTCTTAACTTTTAAGCTCAGAAGTACACGTGCAGGTTTGTTTTACAGGTAAACTTATGTCTTGGGGGTTTGTTGTACAGATTATTTCATCACCCAAGTATTAAGCCTAGTACCCATGAGTTATTTTTCCTGATCATCTTCCTCTTCCCACTTTCCACCCCCAGTAGGCCCCTGTGTGTGTTGCTCCCCTCTATGTGTCCATGTGTTCTCATCATTTAGCTCCCACTTATAAGTGAGAACATGCAGTATTATACAAACATATTTTTATAACTATTTATATGTCCATAAATTCATACTGATGCCTCTAATTCCCATCCAACACCACAAGATTTTTCCTAGCCTATCTGCCAGCATTCCACATTCTAAGTCCCTTCTTCAAGAGAAACTTGTTCCCACTGTCGGTATATTTATTCATTTGCTCAGTACAGAGAAAGTCATTTCAGAATTGCTAACCAACACTACTGGGAAAAAGAAGCCTAAAAAATGTCTTGACATTTATTAAACTTAGGTTATTTAGTGACAACTGAGGTTATTTAGATTGAGGTTATTTAGTTAAAGTAAGGTAAATTAATTCATATTGTACCAGTGTTAATTTCTTATTCTTGATGAAATTAACATTAAGAAAACTGAACAGGGGATATAAGGAAATTCTCCATATTGTTTTTTGAAACTTTTCTATAAAAAAAGGAATTACTAATGTTGTTTCTCCCACAGTACACTCACTTAATATGGTTATTTTTTCATTTGGAATACAATTTGGTTCATTTAGTTTGGTTTATTATTTTGTTTTAGGGTTTTCCCCCTATTCTCACTGATAGAATGCTTTGAGTATATAAAATATTAACATAGTTCAGAAAGTAAAAAATTTTCTTAAAAATATACTTAGACAAGTGTCAGTTACTCCCCCTTCCCTTCCAGCCTCTTCCCACCTACCTTCTGTAGATACCATTTCGTTCCTTTCTGCCTCATCCTTCCAGTGTGTCTCTTTTCTGCAAAAAGTTTTTTTACACAAATACACTATTTATACACTTTTGCACTTTTTTTGTACTTTTGCTTTCTTTACATTTATCAATAAATCCTGGAAGTCATTCCCTATCTGTTCATAGATATCATCCCCATTCTTTTGTGCAGCTGCAAAGTTCTTCATTTTGAACAAATTTTAAAAATGGAGGCATTCACGTTGCATCCAATGTTTTGCAATTACAGTAATGTAATTAACAATCTCACGGGTATATACCTTTGTAATGTTGAAGTTGTGTCTTCATGGTATAAACCTAGAAGACAGGTTTCTGGGTGAAAAATAAGTTGTTAGATGCTGTCAAATTTCCCCCCGGAGGAGTGTGCCTTTTTACATTCCCATAAGAAAAGTATGAAAGTGTCTGTTCATTTTGTTCACAACAAAATACGTTGTCAAGCTTTCAGTTGTTACCAATCTGAGAAAAATGACATTAATATATTTGTATAGTTTTAATTTGCATCTCTTATATTATGAATATAATGAATATATTTTAAATGTTTAGAATTATATATATATATTGTAAATCATCTGTCTTTTGCCCATCGTCCTATTTTCTATCAGAGTTTTAGAATTTTTTCCTCTCAATTATAAGAATCTTTTACAATATTAGGGATTTCAGTTCTTTATCTGTGTTGTGTTACAAATATTTTTCCCAGTGTATCATCTGCTTTTGACTCTATCCAAAGAGGTTGGTTGAGGTGTTCTTCTTTGTTATTCAAAATTCTTTTGTTTTGATGTAGTTAAATTTATCAGTCGTGTCTTTTATTGCCCCTGCATTCCAGAAAGCCCTTCACTCTACCTGGGTTTTAGAAAAATTCACCCATGCTGTCTTCTATTACTTGTGTGGTTTCAGTTTTTATGTGTAACTCTTGGATCCAGTTGGAGTTTAATCTTCATATGATGTGAAGTATGGCTCTAGTTTTACCAATGTTTTCCACATTGCTATTCACTTGTTTCAGCCCATTTATTATAAAGTACATCTGTGTCCCAATTACTTGAAATACCACCTTTATTATATAATAACTTTCCAGACATACTTGGCTCTGTTTCTAGAATTTCTGTTCTATTTCACTGATCTTTCTGTCTATTATTGCGCTAGTATCACAATATTTTAAATATAGATGTTTTATACCATGTTATATTTTTTTCTGGCGAAAAGACCACCAGACATAGCTTTTAAAAAGATAAGTATTTTTATTCTTATTCTGTCTATGTGAACTTCAGTATCAACCTGTGTAACTCCATTTTAAAAAGCTTCTTAATATATTTTAAATTGGGATTGCATTAAATTGTAAAACTAAGGAGAACTTACATCTTTCTGATGTTGAGCTATTCAATACAAGTAAAAGAGGTGTTTTCTAATCTGTGCAAGTCTATTTTTATGTCGTTCAGGGATGTTTTAAAGTTTTGTCATGAGGATTTTGCTCATTTCTTGTTAAGTTTATTCCTAAGTATTTTTTTTGTAATTATAAATTGGATGTTTCTCACTACCATTATATATTCCAATTGATTAGTGGTGTGTGCATCAAAGCTATTGATTTCTGCATGCTTTTTTTTTTTTTTTTTTTCTGAGACAGAGTTTCGCTCATGTTGCCCAGGCTGGAGTGCAATGGCGCGATCTTGGCCCACCACAACCTCTCCACCTCCCGGGTTCAAGTGATTTTCCTGCCTCAGCCCCTAGCTGGGATTATAGGCATGCATCCCCACGCCCAGCTAATTTTGTATTTTTAGCAGCGACAGGGTTTCTCCATGTTGGTCAGGCTGGTCTCGAACTCCTGACCTCAGGTGATCTGCCTGCCTCGGCCTCCCAAAGTGTTGGGATTACAGGTGTGAGCCACCACACCCGGCCTCGGCATGCTATTTTTTAAATTTAACTTTTAAGTTCAGGGATACATGTGCAGGTATATAGGTAAACTTGTGTCATATAGGTAAACTTGTCTGTTATATAGATAAACTTGGGTCTTAGGGGTTTGTTGTACAGACCATTTTGTCATTTAGGTATTAAGCCTAGAAACTCATTAGCTACTTTTCCTGATCCTCTGCCTCCCTCCCACCTTCCACCCTCAAATAGGCCCCAGCATGTGTTGTTCCACTCTTTGTGTCCATGTGTTCTCATAATTTAGCTCCCACTTATAGGTGAGAACATGCAATATTTGGTTTTCTGTTCCTGTGCTAGTTTGATAAGGATAATGACCTCCAGCTCCATCCTTATTCTTGCAAAGGACATGATCTTGTTCTTTATTATGACTGCATAGTAGTCCATAGTATATATGTACCACATTTTCTTTATCTAGTTTACCACTGATGGGGAATTTAGGCTGATTCCATGTCTTTGCTATTGTGAATGGTGCTGCAATGAACATACACATGCATGTGTCTTTATAGTGGAATGATGTATATTTATTTGGGTATATAGCCAGTAACAGGATTGCTGGGTTGAATGGTATTTCCATCTTTAGGTCTTTGAGGAATTTCCAAACTGTAGTCCACAATGGTTGAACTAATTTACACTCCCACTGACAGCGTGTAAATGTTCCTTTTTCTCCACAACCTCACCAGCATCTGTTATTTTTTGACTTTTTATTAATAGCCATTCTGACTGGTGAGAGGTGGCATCTCATTGCGGTTTTGATTTGCATTTCTCTAATGATCAGTGATGTTGAGCTTTTTATCACGATTGTTGGCTGCATGTACGTCTTCTTTTGGTAAAGTGTCTGTTCATGAACTTTGCCCAATTTTTAATGGGATTGTTTGTTTTTTCTTATAAATGTGTTTAAGTTCTTTATAGATGCTGGACAGCAAACCTTATAGATGTTGGACAGCAGGCCTCAGATGCATAGCTTGCAGAAATTTTCCCCCATTCTATAGGTTGTCTGTTTACTCGGTTGATAGTTTCCTTTGCTGTGCGGAAGCTCTTTGGTTTAATTAGATCCCATTTATCAATTTTTGCTTTTCTTTCAGTTGCTTTTGGTGTCTTCTCAAAATATTTGCTCATTTCGGTGTCCAGAATGGTACTGCCTAGGTTGCCTTCCAGAGTTTTTTATAGTTTTTGGTTTTACATTTAAGTCTTTAATCCATGTTGAGTTAATTTTTGTATATAGTGTAAGGAATGGGTTCAGTTTCAATCTCTGCATGCTATTTTTATGCCCATTAACTTGCTGAATTTTGGTATCATTTGAATTATTGTTATTATTGATTCTGTGGAGTTGTCAAATTGTTTTATAATATTTGAAAATAAAGCTTTGATAGTTTTCTTACAGCTCTAATGACATTTGCCTAAATGCATTATCTAAGTCTTCCAGTATAGTGCCTTATTACTACTCTTAGTAATGTTCTGAAGTTTGTATTTATTGCTAACAAATATTAATATATCTTAAGGATCTTTCTAGGGGAGTAACTTTAGATCTTCCAAATACTTTAAAGTTGTTAATTTGTGTATTTATAACAATTTATTCAGCAGTTTCTCTATTTAAAGACATTTGGAATTAAAAAGATATTAAAAGCACAGTTGCAGTTAAAAGTTCACAGACCTTCCAGCATGGCTATAGGTGCTGGTGTTACTCTAAACAAGAGACTGAGTGGTGGGATTGTGCGAATGTTTACCAGGGACAAAAAACTATCTACTTCCTCCCTCCTCCCAGCTCAAAATACATGTTTATGTCCCCAGGTCTTTATAGTCTGGCCTGGGATTGCAGGGATAATTTGGCACAATAATTCCTCTCCTGAAATTCCCATTTGAGGGGTGTTTTACTACGCTTTATTTAAAATGTTTGAAGAGAATAACATCAAGATACATGTTCCTAAGTTTCACTGTGTGTGATATGCAAGATCCTTGCAAACGCTAGGCTGAAAGCACAGGTTCCTCTTGCCTGGAGCCTTGAGAGGAATCTTCACTAGAGGTCTGAAAAGACTGTGAGAAATATGAGAGTGCTATTTAATAGTATTCTGATTATGAAGTAATATGGCAATAGAAAAACACTTTGCACTTGGTCCAAGTGTCTTGGCGCTCGCTCGCGCGCGCTCGCTCTCTCTCTCTCTCTATCTCACGCAGTGTCTCTCTCTCTCTCTCTGCAAGTGACACCAAATAGGGAAGTGTTTTGATGTTTCTCTCTCCTCCGATAATGAGTGTCCTGGTAGCTTCATTTGCTGGCAAATAGAGACTGATCTTCTGGGAGCAGTAGACACAGACCTTGTCTCACTTGCTAACAAAGTTTGTGAGTTTTGTCTTTCTCTCAGGAAAGGGAAACACCATCTATTACTTATTTATTTTTCAGTCTTAAAAAGGAAATTTGAGAATTTTCCAAAGCAGGTATATGCATTTTAAATTTTAATAGGTGGTCTTAAATAGCTTTGAACCAGTTTACGAATATTCAGACTAGTAGTATATGAGAAACCTAGTTCCCCTTACCTATTCCGTACTAATGTGTGTTATACTGTTAACACTTTGTCTACTGGGAAAAAATAATGCCTTATTGGTGTCTTACTGCACATTTCTCTTATTATCAGTAGGTTTGGTATTCTTCACATGTTTATTGCCTCTTTTGTGAGTAGGCTGTAGAAATCCTTTACTTTGCTGTTTTCCTACCAGATTTTTGTCTTTTACTTATGGATAGATGGATAGTCCATACAGAGAGATAGAGATCTATCTTTATCTATCTATCTGTCTATCTATCTATCTATCTATCTATCTATCTATCTATCTAATACTATTATATCCATATCCATCTACATGTGTATATTCTGAATAAAAATGCCTTTTTGTCATATAGTATTGTAAACATTTTTCTCCTATAATTTTACCTTATATCAGAAACTTTCTAATTTTGCCAAAAGCAAATGTTTAAATTTTTTCCTTTATGACTTTTGCTTTTTCTGTCTTGTGTGAGAAGGTCTCACATACTGTAAAGTCATAAAAAAAATCCTCCTGAACTGTGTGTGTGCGTGCATGTGTGTGTGTCAGGCTTGGATCTTGATCATCTGGGTGTAGAGTAACAGTGTGAAGTTTAGCAGTGTGAAGGGGCACTGGCTGGGGCTCTGGCACAGTGTTGAACAGTAGTGATGATGCTGGGCATCCTCCTTCTTGTCAGTAAGGAGGCTATGTCTAGAGTTTTGCTGTTACTTCGTATCTTGCAGATATGCTTTATCAAATTAAATAAGTTCCTCTATCTTATTAGTTTACTACAAATATTTTTTGAATGAGTGTTGAATCTTATCAGATGTAGCTTTAGTATTGACTGAAGTAATTATATGATTGTCTTTACTCTGTTACATGCTGTGATTATATTATTAGGGTTTAATATTTTTGAAAGGCTGATTGAACTTTCTTGGTCATGCTGTATTATTGTCTTAATATAGCACTGGATATGGTTTTCTAATATTATATTGAGGATTCTTACACGCAACTTTCGATGTCGATTGGTTTGTAGCTTTATCTTACGTTTTCCTTGCCTAGTTATGACTTTAGGGTCATATACTTAGTAAAATAAGTTGGCTAACTTTATGTTATTTAATTCTCAGGGAGATTTTATATAAAATGCAAAGTATTCTTTCAAAGCAACTGGTATGAGTGCTTTTTGACTTGTTATATTTTTGACTACATTTCTATTTCTTTTATGGTTATTTTTCTATTCATATTTCTACTAGTTCTTGGGCCAATTTTGGTAATGGTTTTTGAAAAACTATATTTTTGGTCTATTACCTTTTGATCTGTATAGGCTGCAGAGATCTTCAAGTCTCCCACACAATTATGCTTTTCCTTTTATTTCTGAGAGTTTTAACTTATATGTGTTATTTAGTGCATACACTTCGTGCAGCTTTCTCTTCAGTATCAGTTGAATGTTTATCAGTGTAACATGGCATCTTTTTGTGATTTCATACTTTTCATTTGATTTGCTTTAGTCTGAATGAACATTGCTACCACTTTTTTGTTTGGACCAGCCTGAATTCTCCCCTGGAACTTGGGTTTTAGTTTGACCTGCCATTTTATTTTACATTTCTTTCATAAAAAGCATATATATTTATTTTATTTTTAACCCAAGCTTGTATTTTCTATCCTTTAAATGGGTGAGTTAAACTATTGGTACTTGTTGTTAGGCTACTAGGTTTCATCTTCTTGCTTTGTGCTTTCTCACTTTTTTATTTTTTATGCTTTCTTGCCTTTTTTGTCTTTCCAAAATAGTTTTTACTTACAGTTTTTAAATTATCAAAGTCAAGAATAAGAGCGTGTCATTACCTTTATTCTCCTATGTATGTAAATAAGTTTTCATTAAATGCCTTTGCAAAGGGGTTTTTTCCCTCTAAATATTTAATCATTTAAGTTATTTAGCAATATTCCGCTTTTTGCTAATTTTCAAGTCCTCTCTATTATTTATACAGAAGAAATATTCTCTTACTGTGGCTTTTTCTAAAAGAGAGAGGGGATAGGAATCTCATGAAGATACAAAGGATTCCCCACTTGGGCTGCTTCACATTTACTAGGAAATGTCCACCTAATATTTTTATTCCCCACAGCAACCTGTTTTAAGACCTTTGCTATCAGCGATCCCTGTCAAAGACACTTATAATTTTCAAACTCCCTTAAAATGTTTCAGAACACGTATAAATAGGTTTTTAGAAAAATAAAGGGAAAAGCTCCTTACGCAATCATATTTAAGTGATGCCAGTATTTCTTCATAGTATATAACTTCCTCCTATAAACTCAAAAATAAAACTGTTGGTTAATTTAAAGTGCTTTTATCTATTCATTGTTAGTTTCCTCTCTGAGGCTGTGTGATCTTATCCAACAGAAAGACAGGCTAATTTTAGCCTTGCATTCCCAAAGCCCACAAAAATATGAATGTTCAACCTAACAATTCCATTTAAGCAATAAGACAAAAGTGGGAGGAAATGAGATAGAGGAAGAATTAGGTTCATGTACAACATGGAATTGTGCACATTTTATATGTAGAACCTGAAGGCCTACCCAGAATAGGCCTGTCTCTTCAGGTTCTACATATAAAATGTGCTTGAGCATGTGGGTTCACTCCAGCCCACTCTGAAGGGATGGTAGATGGTACAGGTATTATTAGGCAAAATAATGTAGACTTAGCATATTATGGCCAGAAGGATTTTGGTACACATTATGCCAAATATTTTCTTACCAAAGCCATTTTGATTTTTCCTCTACAGTGAAGATATAGTTTGGACTTCATCTTAGTATCTTGTATCATCCCTCATCCAACCACCTAAGGAGGTCTGGTGGCCACAGTCTCTTCAGCAGGGGAGGTGATGGGCCTGGATGGCTGAGGGTTCATTGCCTGACCCAGCTTCAGCAGAGGTAACAGGTGGCATCACCTCCAAATGTGGGCGCAACACTGAGTGCGTTCTGTGATCTGTTGGATTCTTTCTTTTATGACTCAGACCCACATAATCTCCCACTGGGCAGGTGTACTTTTCCTTTCAGCTGAACCAGTTCAGAGTCTGCAAATATATATATATTTTTTACCTTAGGAGAGGACACTGCATATTCACTGTCCTCAAATATTTTTATAAGTGACAGGATGGACAAATGAGAAATATTATCTTGTTTATAGGCTTCTTTATTTGGGAGTGGGGGGCAGGGAAGGAAACCCCAGGGAAATTGATAATTTAAGTTTTTGAGAAAGGAACTTATTTCCTTTAACTCATTTTAGAAATAGATACTCCCTCCAGTATTTTCATCTGTAAAATGGAAATAAACATAGGGCTGATGCAGGAATTAAAGGATTAAATGAGACCTGTCTCCAACAGAGATGAAAAGAGTTGGGTTATGGAGAGAGACTGCTTTCCTAAGAGGCGCAGGGAAAGCAAGTTATTAACAGAGTAGAAAAACTCGAACAAAGTGTCTCTCTGTTCTGCTCTGCTTGGCCACAATCTGCTGACCACAGCCTCCCTTAGACACAACTTTTAGCTGGACCTAAGGTTACGTAAGTGTCTAATATAGTACTCCTGACACTGTAGCCCTAGTAAGTCTTCCTCCTCCCTCCCTTCCTTCCTTCCTTCCGTCCTTTCCTTCTTCCTCTTCCTCCTTTTCTTTTCCTCCTCCTCTCCTTTCTTTCCTCTCTCTCACTCACTCTCTTGCTCTTGCTTTCTGCGATGGGGTGCTGTATTTCTTAGGCTGGTCTCAAACTTGTGGCCTCAAGCTATCCTCTTGCCTCACCCTCCTGAGTAGCTGGGACTATAGGCTACATACCACTGAGCCCAGCCATAGTAATTTCTCATCAATTGAGTAGCAGCCTCCACTCCATACTACCACTTAGGGAGCACGGGCCTTGGGGCTGAGGAAACCATAACTGGAGAAAAAGGCATTTTCTCGGGGGAACAAATTCTAAGTATTTCTAAAAATACCTGGGAAACTATAATCTATGTTTTCTATTTCTGGGTTCGCTGACTCGTGACATATTTAACAGAAGAACTAGAGAGCAGCATTGACAGGGCATTTTTTTCCTTCCCTAATCTAACAAACTGAAAAAGATCATGTTCATCAGGGCTGTAGCAGTAGTGACAGTGAGATGGAGAGAAGTCCTTTGTATCATACCGCTTATGGCAGGGTCTTCCAGGTCTCTCAACATCTCCTAGGATTTTATTTATCAAACAACCAGTTTGATAAATTTTTTCTTAGTGGATTGCTTGAAAATTCAGTTAAAATAGTGGTTCCCAACCTCTTTGGCACCAGGGACCAGTTTCGTGGAAGGCAGTTCTTCCTTGGACTGGGGGTTGTGGGGCGATAGTTTTGGGATGATTCAAGTGCATTACATTTATTGTGCACTTTATTTCTATTATTACATTGTAATATATAATGAAATAACTCACCATAATGTAGAATCAGTAGGAGCCCTGAGCTTGTTTTCTGCAATGAGAAGGGCCCATCTGAGGCTGATGGAAGACAGTGACAGATCATCAGGCATTAAGTTCTCATAAGGAGCTCGCAACCTAGATCCTTCACATGCGCAATCGCAATAGGGTTCGTGCTTCTATGAGAATCTAATGCTGCCACTGATCTGACAGGAGGCAGAGCTCAGGTGGTAATGAGAGCCATGCAGAGTGGCTGTAAATACAGATTAAGCTTCACTTGCTGTACCATCGCTCACCTCCTGCTGTGCAGCCCAGTTCCTAACTGGCCAGGCCCCCAGGGTTGGGGTCCCCAAGTTAAAACACATAAATGGCATCAGGGTGTGTTACACAGACTAGGAGCAGTGGGTGGAGGCTCAGGACCTACAGGGATGGGTTTGAAAAAGTAAATGAGCCCTTTGGTCCAACTCTCAGGTGACCTTCCCAGCACTCCCTAAACAAACGCCCTCTACTTTCCTGGATCATATTTATGAACAGATTTTGTGGAATTCCAAGAAGCAGAGAGGGAGTATGTCAGAATCACAAAAAGGATACATACATATTGATTTTCTAGGTTATATTAAACAGTGATAGGATAAGGAAATGGATATGCTAATCCGGATTCCAGTAACTTGCTTCAAGAATGAACTAGACAAGTGAGGGGGGAGAATATATATATATATATACAGTCGGGTGCTAAAAGTTAGAAGATAAGCAGATAATGGAGGTGTTTAATATTTGCTGCCTTTTGCTGTAAGTAGTAATACAAGTAACTACAATCATTTAATGAAATAGATGCCAGGATTTGCAGACCGCCCTGCCCCTCCAATATCTGTGTCTTTTTAGGCTCATTTTACAAATGAGAAAACAAAAGTCTCCGAGAATCAATGGTGTTCAGGTGCACAGAGCTAGTGAGCGGCAGGGCTAAGTTCCACACCCAAGTCTGACTCCTTCCACTTTGCCATGCTATTTCTCAAAACTGAGCAAAGCTCAAAAATAGGAGGACTGTATTATTTAATCCATTGCTCGATGCTCATATTAACCCTAACCCCTAGCTTTTTATCAGAATTCACAAATTCTGTTTTGGAGCATAATTACTTGATTACTGTAGATGTTTTGATGCAGAGACTCTTGGAAAACAAACAGAAAGGGAGGAGAAACTAGGGAGAAAGCACATGAAATTTCCAAAATTTAGTACCTGTTATGCATTTGGCTCATCCTCATTTCTGTAAGAGCACAGGGTCTTCTTTCTAGTGACTAACCTCGACACTGAGTATAAGTGGAGGAAATGAAGAAAATTATTGAGGAAGGTGGTGCCATTGTAATTTAAAATGATTTGCAGAAGCCAAATGGCTTGTGCTGGCTGTAGAGAAACAGACCAGGGTGTGGCAGGCTGAGATGAGACAAACAGAACTCAATCATTATTAGGAATTCTGAAAAGCAAAATGCAAGTAAGGGCATTTATCACCACAAGAGCAGTCCTCTAAGCAGCCCTCAGAGGACTCTGCCTAATGTTCAAAGCCATTTGGGAGGAGACTTGGTAGCTCTGCCTAAAGTGGGGTTGATTCAGCAAGTCACAGGCCAGAATGTCTATGTAACCGAGGGGTCCCCTCCTCCTTTTAAAACTGTGGTTATTTAGCATTTAAAAAATAGAAATAAAAGATTTAATATTTACCAGTTTTCATATACTCTGCATAGAATAGGAAATGTAAAATTGATTTTGAAGGATAACAGAGTAACTTATTCTAGAAGAGCTACAGTTAAAAAGAAGAGAATAAATGCAAGGCAAAGAAATATAAATTAAAATCTTTGTCTTCTCTCATCTTTGACAGAGAAGCAATACATTATTTTTTCCCTAGTCCCCTAGTGTTCTGGGGTGATAGTGTTCATTGATCTGTAAGATGATAAACTTCAGCTGCTACTCTGCCTTTTAGTCACAACAAAGGTAGAAGATACAAGAATTAACTACATAAATTGTAAGAACAAATTAATATTTTTTTCCAAAATTTCTCCTTACATCCAGTGTTTATAACAAATGCTTGATATATTCTTGCATGTAACCCAAAATACATAAAATGAGATTTTAATTTCATCCATGAAGTAGAAATCTTGATAAAGTAGGATCTTGATGTTCATTTAACCTGGCAGTATGTTTCTATAACCAGTGTTCTGTTTTTCTTCCACTTATTATCAAAATAAATAAATAAATAAAAAAAAATTCCAGGCCTCATTCTATCCAACACAGGCATATATAAGCCACATGAATGGGCTTCAGTTTCAGCCATTTTGGATAGATAGTAAATGGCAAGTGGTTCTCATGCAATCTAAAGCCATCAGTTTTATATCCTTGATATTGAAAGGAACTGTTTGGTTTTTTAATTAATTATGAAGAATGTTATGAATGTTATTTTATCCATTGGACTATGTAGGGTGGATCAAATATATCACTCCAGTTTGTGCTAAAGAAGGAAAAACATATTATACTAGCAACTTGCAATGTTGTAAGGCTGACACCAAAGGGTATGGTATCAAATGAAGTGGAGGGGGGGGGGACAAAAGCTTCTGAAACAGATTGCCCTGAAAATGGAGTATTTTTAGGTTTAGGCTGATACAAGCAGATTGCTTTCAGAGCTGTCCAAACGAAGCCTTATTTTTAAGACGCATTATCCCTACCACCATCAGCTTTCTTGTACACTCTTGGGAATAACACCACATGAGGAAATTCCGTATTGCTATCATCTCACACACGGTTCTTCTAAACCCAGTGGATTCTTAGAGCAAATTTGCAAACAGATAGGTTTGTAGCAATAACCACTCAGTTCTCTTTCACACAAACTGACCTTAACCATCCATGAAACAAGTGTCCTAAAACACGTGAAATTTACTAGATGCTATTGACATGTGTTAAATATGTACGTACAGACCAAGAGGAGATCACTTACTAGAGGATATGTTAGGAGTTAGGCTTATGTATATTCACTATGCTGTTGTATGCCAACATGTATCTATGAATATACACAGGTAGGCCCCAAACATTCAAAAAGTGCATGCTTGGCCTTTCATAATAAATAAAGGGAAAGATATGAAATAACTAGTTTAGAACTAAAATTCTGCACCATCTGTTTACAGACAGTGGTGTACCACTGGGTGTACCCAGTGGTGTAAACTGGGAATTAAAAAATTCTTGAAAGCATCTCTCCTCCTTATTTGTATATGTTCTGATAAAAGACTTTCTACATTTTGAAAAAAATTGAATTAAAAATGAGACACTGCAAACAAAAAAATAATAAGCTATGCTGGTTCAAATGATTGATGCAAATAATTCATAACAAGAGAAAAATCTTAGGAGTAGGGTATAGAGGAATTGAAAGTCTTTTTTTCCAACCAGCCAAACTTTTGGCTATCAAAATTATCAGTGTGCATCAGATGATAATCCGCTATTTTACCTTGAAAATAATATGAGAAGTGAAGCTTTAGAAATGTCAAGTGACCAAACGAGTATGTGCAGAAATTAACTTTTTTTATTATATATCATATAATGTAGTAGTAAAGTTTGTTTGAAGTGCATGAATAAAAAGTTAGTGAAATTACAGGAGGAACAATCTATATAGCAATAATAGGTGCATTCCCTGTGCATCTGAAAGAAAAAAAAAGAGTTTTCACTCATTTTGGCCTAAAACTTAGTGTTCAGGTTCCCAGGATTCTGACATCAGAACCCGGATAACGCTGATTAGAACCATAGGGGCTTTACAATAAAAGCTAAAATATTGACCATATGATGGCAAAAAGTCTTATTTTGTGGTTAACTTATTCTCTTCTAGCTACTCTCTGATGAAGTTGGTGGTGCTGTGGAAGAGGACCGCCGCCTCCTGGACGAGGACCGGGACCGCTCAGCATTGTAAGTGACGTGCTTGTCGTAGCTCTCCATCTGAGCCTCAATGAAATCTCTCTGCTGCTGCCTGATGGTCTGGCTTATGAGCCCAGGGAGGGCGTGGATGCTACCAATCAAAGTCTCTAGTTTTGTTTCCAGGGTAACAATCCTCTTCTCGAAGTCTTCACTCCTTTCGTTTAAGTCAGAAATCATATCATACATGATGTTCTGGGTCTGAAAAACAGGATTGAGAAGAAGGTTAATTATACTTGCCCTGAACACAAACTGTCCACCTCTCAGAGGTTTAGCTCTGGTCTCTTGCTGGTGGCATTCAGTGTAACAGGGGTGTCAGCTAACTGAACAGCTCATCTTGCAAAGCCAACTCATTGTATGTGTTCAATGCCAGGATTTATAATCGAAATATAAGATCTTTGGTTCAGTTGCAGAAAATGTGGAGCAGGTACTGCTACTGGTGGCATGCCCATTGATTTTAGGTGGTATCAGGATAGACAAAAACATTTCAATTGAATATTTATATATGTATTTTAAAGGTTGTCACAAAGGTTAGTACATCAAATTCATTTTGCAACATGTTTGTTAATTAGGGCAAGGGTAATTTTTAAAAAATGGGCAGAGGCAAAGAACAATAAATAATACAGAGGGATAAATAATAATACAGATGGCATTGGGATGTAGCAGAAATGTTGAGGGTAGAATATAAATGAAGTTTAGGATTAACTGGTTTGATAATTTTGTAATTTAAAGCAATAAATTCCTAAAGATTGTTTGTTATCCTTTGTTCCAAATTACAGGCCTCTCTCCATTGGGTCAAATGGAATTTTTACAGATAACCCATTGAGAGAATATTAGTTAAGGGAGATACTGAAGTTACCAGTCTACCTTGTTGGCCATGGCTCTGACCTCCTGGCTATGGCTTAATCAAAGCTAAGTGGTTAAAACAGGAAAATGTTTCTGGATTCCTAGTGAACCTTGAAATTGATTGTCTTGATCACAGGGTATCCATAACTCTGATTTCTAGGTATATTTCCTGAGTAGCCAAGAGACAAAGAGAGAGGACTGATCAGCTCAGAGCTAGACAGGGAAAAGGCTGGCAAAGAGGGAGGAAAAGGTTTTAATCTTAGTTTAGTGCAGACTTTCCCAAGTCTGAGATCCCTTTATTTAAGCCGTCCCTCCTACTGCATTTCCCTTCTATCATATGCTCTTCTTCTGCTTAACAATCTTTTAAAGATGGTAAATGAACTGATAAGGGAGTTATTATTCAGAATATAGGCACCTTGTTTCAGTTTGACCAGAGACAGAGTGCATACACTTAATTTTACTACATAGTCTTGAGAATATGTGAACAGCATCCATTCATTTAAGAAAATACTGAGCCTTTATGGTATGTACAGTCCCGTGGTCATAATAAGTACATTAATAAAGAAACAGCATCTTGCCTCACAGTGGTACTCTTGAAGTAAAATTACATCTCCACATCATATTTCAATGTGGTCTGTTCATTTTTTCATAAAAATACCCATTAAAAATCATTTAACCTAGGAGTGATGGAGCTTGCCCTATCTTTTTTTCATATGTCCAAGTAACAGCCACATTTATACACGTTAATCGAGGATGTCCTCATACTTTTTATATGTGTGCTGTCCAGTTTATATGCATGATATATGCTCTCCTAGGGTAAGTCATTAAATACTTACTGTCTTCAACATCTAGTATGTGTTACTGCTATACATTAAAATGAATGTAATTTAGATGCATTATTTAATGAGACTAGGACAAATACTTGTAATTTTTATGGATTATACTTGAGGCTTTAGCAAAGTCATGTCTGATTTATCAAACAAAAAAAAACAGTTTGTAAGATGCAACTGAGAGTTGCCTCTTTCAAAGCATTTGGGTAAAAGGCTGAACAATTATATAAATGCTATTCTAATACCACCTTTAGAATTCACCCAGGAAAATGCAATGTTTTGATTATTGACAAATATTTATGTTTTAAGAATGGGTTTTATGTGGGGAGAAACAACTAAACATTGATCAGATAAATATTATAAATAAGGTAGAATAATTTGGAGACTGTTAATGTACTTTTTAAAAAGTGGTATGATTTTGAAATAATGAAATGGAGAAAGAACCATAAAAAAGTGATCACTTTAGGGTGATAACTTTCATTCTAGGATGTAATTTCTGGTATCTTTTATTTTTATTTCAACTTTACATTCTTTTGAGTTTGCTTAAAATACATAGGACAAAATTTAATTGATGAGTCCTATTCATTCCTGAATATCACAGTCACACCTAGGATGCAGTTCTGCTCTCATTGAGATGAGATTTACATGCAAATAAAAATCCCGCATGTATTGTCTCCTATTCCACTTAAGCTTCTTATGGTACTTCCAAATCACTGTAACTAGGAATGTTTTCAGAATGGGGCTGAATAACGTAATAGGGAAAGAGTACATTAAATGAGAGTTACAGAAACATTCTTTTAAGTTGGACCATCATTTTAGGGTGCTTTGCTGGTTTGATTTATTAATTAGATTTGGGTTGGGATCCTCTTGAAACATTCATGATTAGTGACTGTGAAGTGGTTGATTTCAACAGATGCAACTAGGAGGGCTAAGCACCTCAGGCTTACCTTTGCCAAGTCCACCAAAGTGTTTGCTTGGTCATTCAGTTTCCTCTGCTCCATTTTTACACTTCTTAATCTAAAAGATAGAATCTGGTATCAGAAAGGTTCCCTTCTTCCTATGGCAATCTTATGCCTTCCAAAGAGCATGCACAAAATTGACAAGAGCAAATAACTGCATGGATAATGCCTTGAACATTTGGGGTAAGTCCAAACTGGTTATGTGTCTGGTACAATGAGAAGCATGCTTCCCCAACACCGCAAAAAAGAAAGGAGAGAGTGAGAGCAAGAGATGAGATGTCCTTAGGACAACTATTTACCAGGTAAAGTTGAATTCAGAAAGACTCATAAGGATTTAACCATATGAGAAAAAGCCAAAACATTCCTTAAAGCCCCAGTATCATGACACATAGACATAGGAAGAAATATGCAAAGCAACTGGAATTTCATTGATGTTGGAGCAATGAGCACCTTCCTATGCCTACATGATTAGATACAGGTATTAGCCCTGTTTAGTCCGAAATGGATTGGGTTAGGTATTTGAACCTGATGAAAACACAGTGATAAGTGAGATTCTTATTAACAAAAAAAAAAACTTTTATTCAACCAGCAGCAATATAACACAAAACACATAATTATTATCTTATTCTTCATTGTATTTCATTTAACTTTTATCTTGAACTGCCATTAAATTTGTAGGGAGGCCAGACCATTTCCTAGGAAAAATTCCCATTTTCAGTGTAGATAAAAGTCAGAGGACAATTATAGTATCTGGCAGATGGAATCTCTACTTGTAAGATTATGTTTAGCTACTGTTAAATATCATTGTATATACCTGATGAAGAGTCAATTAAGAGTCAAAAAACGGTATTAAAAAAACACTTGTAGGTAAGAACTCTGCTATTCTTTAACTTTATTTACTATATTATTTTTCAACAAATATTTATTCAGTGTTTACTATGTACCAAGAAAGATTTTCCAATAAGAGAAGTGTGGTTTATTGTTCCTTAAGCTAACAATTAAAAGCTTTTTCCCAAAAGAGAAGTAGGTTCTTCTAAACTATTTAATGAAAACAAACAAAAAGTCATGCCAATCTTATTTTGCTTTGATGACAAGTCATTTTACAAAGTATAGTTTTAATGCTAGAGAGAGAATTTTTTATTATTTTTCAATTGAAATGAAAGGTAATTATGTAGAAGGAATAAAAACTCACAGGGCAAGATTTTACTGCCAGGGAGATTTTGTAATACGTTCATAATGTTCAGTGATTTTGTTCCGAAACTAGGATATCCAATATGTCACCAAATCTGCTCTACAGTGAAGATGTAGTGCCTTCTGCCAGTAAGTTTAGCTGACACATACCTACAACACGATCTTTAACAATCTACAACAGTTTAAGGTTATAACTTCTCATTGTGACTATGTATTTATTAGAATGCTGGAACGAAGTTAATTGGCTCCTTTTTATGCTATTACAGAGATGGAATATGTCCTAGTCTAAAATTTACAAGCATGTATTTAGATCCAATATATTGTTGAGAAAGATTTCTCTCAGTAATTAATAGGGTTACAATTTTTGATGTGTGCCTTTGAAAAACAGGCAACTGCCCCCACCCTACACCCCCTAAAAAGAACACTTAGACATCCGTGGGTCATTACGCAGAAGTGTACTAAAGAAAGAGCAGTGTACAACAGTGGATTCCATCCTTACTCTAACTGGACCTTTAGTTTCCTCACATATGAAATGAAGTGTGTTAGATTAGAGAAATGTTTCTGCACTGCTGGATTCATACCAACAGAGGTATTCTAGATGCCTTTAAGTGATACTTAAGATGGAAAACAGTTAATCCTTTTAGTTCTCTTCTAATTCTTCATTACTGCAAGAAAAACATCATAGTCTGGTCCTACTCTGTCTTTATCTCCTAACACCTGCTTTTTTTTTTTTTTTCTTTTTTTAAAAAAAAAAAAAAAAGAAAAAGCAGAATCTCAGCTCAGAGCTTTCTGCAGGCAACAGCCTATGGCTAGAATTCAATATCGGTGTTTCAACTATCAATTGACGATTACCTTTACCTTTCTTCGTAATATTTTTTAATCCATTTGTATAAAAATGGATTAACATTTGTATAAAGGAATTTGTATAAAGTTTCATGTTCAAATTTAAGTAAGTTATAGTATTAGTGGCACAGAAATGACTGAAGTTTGGGCTCTGGACCAGATGCCTCCAGCAAGTAATGAGTACAGAGAAAGTCCTGAATTCTGTAAGTCAGGCTAGAAGGGCCAGTGGCAGTTTCTTAGCTTAAGTGGGTACTTCATCTTATAAACAACGGGGCCTAATTTACTTCTCTTGGATTACTATACTATGTCTGACAGTAGAATTTTGCCCATTTTATTTTCTACTAATCTGGAAAGCTGACATACAGTAGCCTTATTTGATTGGAATTCCTTTAGCTATCGGAACTTGAATCATCTTGTCTTGTTGTTTGTTTCTTATACTGCCTGTAATGTAGGAGAGCTGATAGAAAAAGCCTGCTTAAGCTGCAGCTGCCAGAATAAAAGGTAACATGCAGATGTGTATTACACTTTTCCCCCCAAAAAAGAAAAAGAAACATATGTTGATTTCTTCCTTGTGAACTTCACTTATCACAGGAAAATATCATGATTTTGGATCACATTTCCATAGCAGCAATCAGACTACTAAAATTCACAAATAAAGGATCTGCTGGGTGCATGCAGCCAGTAGAAAATTCTGCAAATGTTGAAAGGAGCGGCTCACACAACTTACTTCCGAGCTCTATTTTCATTTTGTTGAAATAAAAAGACAAAACAAAAGAAAAGAAACTGTAAAATATTCTGGAACAAAATAACACAATGTGGTGTTCAGTTGTGCACAAGGGGCTCGATTCATTAGCTGGAAGATCCTGTTATGGTTCTGCAGGATTTTGAAATATTGGCCAAAGAGAAACACTATCCAATTATCCTTCTTCATTGCTACTATACTTTCCCATCTGTAAGCACTCAGCTTCCTCCTGAATAAGAGTTCAGAAGGAAGAGCATGCATAAAGTCATCATGGCCTCTTGATATTTGATGTTCAAGTAAACAACAAGAAATATTTTTGCCTAATATGAATGTGATATGGTTAAAAGAACAATATTTGAAACAAAGGCATTGTAATTTTTTTGGGGGGGTACATCTTTTCCAAATTAGGACAACTCAGAAGCCTGGGGTTTCTGAAAGGCAGGTAATCCAACTCTCATGATATACAAATCAAGTAGATTGGATTTCTTGGTTCTGAAACAAATTCATGTTGGTCCATAGTTGAGATAAAAGAATGATAAACTTTAAAGGGAAAGTTGCTACCAGAAAAAGCGTTAAAAGTTAGAGAAAGAGAACACTTCACGACACTAAGTGACAATCTAAAAAGACAATTACTGAAAAGAGGGCACAGGCCTGGACAGTTCAGCATCCAACAGAGTAGAGAGGCTATGAAGTTTGGAAAAGAGAAACAGAGTTGAGATAGCATGGACTGGTAGAAGCAGAGAGCTGCTGAAAAAGTGCTCAGGATAAATCAGAGAGTAGGAGAGGCCAGGAGTGATCTATCGAATGAATTTTAACATTTTTCTTCAGCTAGTAAGGTCTGATTGTACCCAGTGCCGACAGATAAGGCCGAGGGTCTCACTGGATCTGCACAGTGGGCAATGGAAGCCTTGCCCTTAGGAATCGAGCCCTGTGTGCTTCCCCTATGACTTCACTCCCTAACTTCCAACACTAAGCTAAAATGAAAGGTAAGTATGCATGATTAGAATGATCTAGCCAAACAAAGCTTGCATGAATAAACGTACTCAGTTACACTTTTAGAAGTATAAATGTCCCCCACTGTAATGGAAACCCGGTAACCCCTAGATGAATTTATAAAGCAATTCAGAGCATTTCTGAGTTGCCTGAAGCTTATCTACTTTAGAAGTACACATTGCTACAGAAGAAACAGAATAAGAAATATCTGACAGAAGCAGAAAAATCACAAGTAGCTTCCTCTGTCACTCTATCCAAACACAATATGCTAAGAGACCCCGTGCAAGCGACTCCACAGTACCCACCCTTAAGAAAGGGCCGACATGCCTTGTAGGGTGCATTTGCAACTTGCTTAGGGACAGTTTTTAAACTTCCCCAAATACTTTTTTTCTAATGTTTTAATGTAAAAACGTAATAACCTAACGGCAAAGTTGAAAGCATTTTACGGTAAAAACCCCTAAATTCTCCCCCAGGCTTTTGAATGTGAATGTATTCTGAACATAATAGTCCAGAAGAGTCTTATATTACAAGATGTAATACAAATCCCCACTGCACATGGCTACAGAACCGTACTATAAAAACTATCACAGCATTTTCTTGGATTTGTTATTATATGAAAATTGATTAAAGGTAAATCACATGTAATTACCCATTTGATAGGTCTGACTGACAGGAAAGGACCCAGATAAGATCCTGGAGGCAATGGGATGTGTGGCTGCTCAACACAGACCGACCACACTTGCTCACTGCCGTGTCATCTCATACCCTTCCACCCTGGACATACATACCTTCTCACATGCACCAAGGTAAGGTTTCTTTTTAACATACTAAATATAGGTTAATACCAAAATATTAAAGGTAGAAAAAATGATTTTGCCATGCATGGTATGGCCTCTGGACCTCCTGTATGAATGTGTTGGGGTTACTGTGTAGTATGGTTTTAGCAGGGGAAGACCACTCTAATAGGAGAGTTGTGTGAGGTGAGTGCCTTGAGGAAGATGCCTGTTCCACAGGAAAATAGGTTAAGGAACACAGAGGCGAAAGCTCAGCATCTCTGGGTTGGGAGAAAGGGAGGGTTCTCATTCTCTTCAATCTAAACTTCAAGGAATCAAGATTTCTAGGCAAGGGCTCCTGGATGGTGGTTCTGGGTTATAAGGGTAACTGTAAGTCTAGGGAGCAAGTTCCCTCTTGTGAGCCAGATGGAATATAATGTTCCTTTCTGTGTTTTTCCTTATTTTAAGAGTATTATTTGAAAACTCTAACCTTGTGTTTTCCTTACAAAGGGAGAAAAAGCATAGTGATGTGTCAAGTCACTGAGCTACAGAGGAAATAGCATCACTATCTTAGGAAAGTGTGTTAGTAAAGCTGGGGAAAGACCATGAGTAGCAATGAAGGCCAGATACTCTACCATACGTGCAGAGCCTGCCTCTACTATAAATCTCAGGATACTTGAGTTTTAATTTCTATGGAAGAATGAATCTGTCCAGAATTACATATTCTACATTTTCAGTGATATCTATTTAAGCAGGGCAGTTCAATGGACAGGTTTTGTATTCTAGGGTAGAAGATGAATGCTTAGTAATTTCCTATAGAATGTTAGTGGTACCATATTACATATGAATTACCTGAACATGCAAAATAAAAATTGCAGCCTCTGAGTTTTCTTGCCTGTTATACTAGTTGGCTCTGAGAGACAAATCTCATTGGATAGCCAAAGCATCTTGTATTTACCCACCTTTCCATTACTACCCTCGTAGGTTTCATAAGGAAAGCTACTTTTCTGAGCCACAGATGTGACCATATCTGCTCTTCTCCATATAGAATTAAGAGCAAGTCTGCATGGCATCACAATCGATACCCACATGAATAATACTTACAGTAAGGATTATGCCAGCCCGGAGGAGAAAGATCCTGTGCTTTCAAATTATCAGTGCATCTTACTAGATATAGATTGTTACTTTAAAAGCGTATGCTAATTATATAACAATGGAACAGAACGAAGGACTTAAACCATAATAGTGGTCTGGATAAAGTTAAAATAATGATAAGAGAGTAAAAGGTCTACACAAACTGGAAAATTTAAAATGAACACAGCCAAAATTCTGATTAAAAACTAACTTAAAATTCAAGTACTAAATCAGTTATATGCACTACTTTCATATAAATATGTTTGAAGCTATGTTTAGAAAATAAAGCTGAAAAAATCCTAGAGCAAACTATCTGAATAAATAGGTCAAATTAAGAAATACAATTTCAGCAGAAGTTATTCTAAAAAGAAACTGAGAAGATATTTTAATAAATATTCTAGTACTAATAAGTGATTTTTAATCATTAAAGGAACTGAGGTTATTCTCAGGATCTTATTGTGGAATGATTAGATTGCCAGATAACATCTTCTGGGAATAAACATGACAATGTTTTCTTTTTTCCTTCCTTATGAAACAAGAATAAACAAGTGCAAAAATTGAAAGCCAAGGACACAACAACAGGATAAAAATGAAAAATGATACTTACTGATGAATAGCTTGCAGGAATTTTCGTTGATGTTTTCTTACTTTTGCATGATCTATCTTTTTCACTAGCTTTGTATTTTTGTAAATTAGCCATGTTTCCCTGAGTACATTGGCAGCTGCATTTTTTACCTGTTAAGAGAACAAACAAAGCAGTTGATAAATTCCAGAGCAGAATCCTTTGTAACTTTGCTGGGGGTCATAGTCTTCATCCCAAGGATCATGGTGAGCTGTAGCTTCATTTAGTAACCATGACTCCAAATACCATTTTTCTTTAATCTATGCCTTTTTAGAAGTACTTGTACCTGCCTGGGAACAACACTTAAATTGAAATAGGGAGATACTACCACTTTCTTTCTGTGGTAAATTCTATCTTACTCCTTCAGGAAACTTCTTTTTTATTCAACTATTTTTTTTTTTTAATCAAGGGGTGTTGAGTTCTCCACCGTGTATTGCAATTGTTGTCTCCATGATCTTCCTTTCCCTGCAGAAAGACAAAATACCATGAGGCCAAGGTTAATCTTGTCCTTTGCAAGCCTGCTTGGTATTTCTGGCTGTGCACTACTGGAAGGGCATGTTTCCAGTGCTGAATGTATAAGTACATCCAGCACTGATAGCCTCCCAGAATGACTTAGCAATTTGTATGCTTGTTAGTATACTTTAATTAACTGACGGAGTCTACGTTATGATTTTGTTGGAAATTTAAGTACACTGTATTTCAAATGGATGGGACAAATGAGAAGGGTGAAAGCACTGCAGTAACACTGCCAAGACCTACAGCAGCTGATGAAAGGCATGGATACTTAATCTAGTCACTTGCTTTCTTGATGAAAGTCTTCAACAAATCCTGGGAGCTGATAAAGGGCCAGCAAGGGCAGATTCTGTCTTCTTCCTTGCTCACACTATGGGATCTGATGACCCACAGCTTTCACTTGGGCTTTTGGATTACTTACTATAAGAAGTTGTTCCATTTAATTCTTTTAAGTGATGGAAAAAGGATATTTCACAAAGAGAGCCACAGGTTACTGGGGTGCTAGGTGGAGGAAGATAACTTTTTAAGAAAGGCAGTGTAGTGCGGAAGACAAAACAATGAGCTGAGATTGATAACCGGGTTCTACGTACTTGACTTTGCACTAACCAAGTCAGGTTGAAGTGATTAGCTAACCTCATAGGACTGCAGTTTTCTGGAACATCAGAAAGTTAGAGATAATGAATGTTAAAGTTCTCTCAATCATTAGATTTACAATAAGGATGAGCTTTAGAATTACACTAAACTATGGGCCCAAGTTTGTATTTATATTTTTCACTTTAGCAAAGAAAACATCAGGTTTGGTAACTGATAGTGAATCTTTCTCATGGAGTGAAAAAGTTTTCTTTTTGAGCAACATTATATTGCTACAACTCATTTTAAGAAAATGGTCTTTTTACAGTAAAGCTTCTTTTAGGAGTGACTCTGGTTTGTAATGCACTGCCTTTGGATATCTATTAGACTCTGTGCATGGAGAGAATCCTCAAACCAACAGAAAAATGATTGACACAGAAGCCAAGTGCCAGCACTGCGTATAAGTAACACTACCACCATCCACAGTGAAGTTAAAAGGAGTTCGAGTAAATTCTTAGATCCATCTTCATACTTCCACTTCCTCAGACAGCCGGGAGAGCCACCTTTCAGAAGCTTTTTTCATCTGATCCTCATGTCCTTTCAAAGGTAAGGAAATGAGTGCAGCATGAGTAGTTGTTATTTGAGGACCTTGCTTTTAAGGAGAGAGGAGTGGGAAGTGACTGGCCAGCAGTCCCTGGGGTTGGAATAGCCTTTCCCTGTGAGGAAAGAGAGAGTCTCAGATCTCTAAGCAACTGTAGATACCTGGAAGATTGGCAAGGGGCCCTGATGGAGGCTCTCTCTCTGATTTTACCAGTCGAAGGCATAGAGGAGAAGCCTAGATCCCTGCCTGGTGAGGAAGCTGGAAAACCAGTTAAAAACCCTAGGTAAAAACCAATGGGTCAGAAACACAGCAATGGAACATAGCAATCCTCAATGTAGAACATAGCACTTGATTTCAATTTGTATTCCCATCTACAAACAGCAAATGCCAAATTATTTCTAAAGTCAATACGCTTTTAAAAAGGTGACCGATGCATTTTAAATGATTCCTTCTCTTGGGTATATGAAGAAAGTGGTTGAAGGGGAATACAGAATCTTAATCTCAGAGTTCAGTGGAGTGGGGGTAATGCCCTCGAGGCCTTATGTTACAGGCTTTCTATTCACTAAGCACTCATTTTAGCTGATGGGCTTAAATGAAAATGATTCCTCATCTGAAAATGAAATCCCTGCAGCTGCTTTTAAAAACTTCTAAATACAGGAATTTATTTTGAAACATCCCATCCCCTTTCTAATTCCCTAATAGGTTGTCAAATACAGGAACAAACCTCCTAAGGCATCATATTTAACTGCTACTTTTCAACATGGCAGCCACAAAACAATATGTCCCAGAATAAAAATCCCACTCTCTGCCTATTACTGAGATGTGTTTCTAATAGTAGGGTCTTCCTTTCCATCTAGGGTTGAAAAGGAACAGAGGACAGTGAGAAGACAGGGTCAAAGGCACCTCATTGTTTTCCACATTTGAACAATGGGGAGTTGGCAAAAGAAAGTGATATGTAAACTTCCAGGAAAAATGGGGAGAAATAGGTCTATGCATTCATTTTTTTTATTTATATAAATTTAGGCAGTGTAAGTGCAATTTTGCTGCATGAATACATTGTGTAGTAATGAAGCCTGGGCTTTTAGTGTAATAATCACCCAAATAGTATACATTGTACCCGTTAAGTAATTTCCTATCCCTAACCTCCCTCCCATCTTTGGAGGGAAAGTTTCCTTTGTATCCTCAGTCAAGAACCCTGCCATATAACCATCTAGTTATGTAACACTTGAATGCCCTTTTGTCCCCTTTCCAGGGCTTTCAGAAACTCTCAGGGGTCATATCACTAATCTTTGTGTCTCTCTACCTCAGTGCTTTAGGCACAGCTCGTACTAAATAAATGTCTATGGTGTTAACTGGGCACCACAGCACATATAATTTATACATAAAAACTTCTTCTCATGAACCACACTAACACGTATTTATCAACCAAAGGACCCTCTTGATAACAAGGGTATACAGATTCATATAATGGATGAATTATTGCTTCATCTAAGCTCTAAATGGATCAATGCATTTCCACTTACAAATTCAACCTACGTACTGAATCTCTACTACATGCTAGATACTGTGATAAGTGGTATGAGAGGATTTACCGATGTCCATCAAACATTTAGTAGGTATAATAATTCTATGGCCAATAAACAGGCCAAAAGACCTATGAAATAAAAGTCATTTTCTGTTTATCAAAAAATAAGTAAAGTGGGGGGAAGGATCTTTGTTAACAGGAACATCTTTACACACACACACACACACACACACACACACAGTTGAAAAATAAGAACATTTGCTCTGCCTCACTAGTAATCAACCGTAATCAAAGTCTGTCAGAAAAATGTTAGAAGACATATCAATAATTTTTATAATAATTTGAAACAGCAAAGGCTCTAAAATATATACTACTACTGGCTGGGTGCTGTGGCTCATGTTTGTAATCCCAGCACTTTGGGAGGCCGAGATGAGTGGCTCACTTGAGGTCAGGAGTTTTTGACCAGCGTGGCCAACATCTAGTGGAACCCCATCTCTACTAAAAATACAAAATTAGATGGGCGTGGTTGAGCATGCCTGTAGTCCCAGCTACTTGGGAAGCTGAGGCAGGAGAATCGCTTGAACCCAGGAGGTGGAGGTTGCAGTGAGCCGAGATCACGCTGCTGTGCTCCAGCCTGGGTGACAAAGCGACTCCGTCTCTCAAAAAAAAAAAAAAAAAAAGAAAGAAAGAAACACTACTACTACATTATTGTTAGTGGTAGTACTTACCCAGATTCCTTAAAAACAACTTTCACAAGTATACAGGCCAGGAGATATTATATTGCGACTCACGGTTAATTATAAAATAATAAAACCATGGGTAGTAAGATACAAAATATTTTTAAGTATAATAGTACTTTACAGATCACCAAAGCACTTGAGGCTGCTAGACTTTTTTTTTTTCCTTCAAATTTTATTTTAAATTCTGGGGTACATTTGCAGGATGTGCAGATATGTTATATAGGTAAACACATGCCATGGTGGTTTGCTGCACAGATCATTCCATCACCCAGCTATTAAACCCAGCGTCCATTAGCTATTCTTCCTGATGCTCTCACTCCCCCTACCCCCTCCTCCAGAAGGTTTCAGTGTGTGCTGTTCCCTCCCACCATGTGTCCATGTATTCTCATCATTCAGCTGTCACTTATAAGTCAGAACATGTAGTGTTTGATTTTCTGTTCCTGCATTAGTTTGATGAGGATAATGGATTCCAGCTCTATCCATGTCCCTGCAAAGGAGATGATCTTGTTCCTTTTTATGGCTGTATACTATTCTGTGGTATATATGTACCACATTTTCTTTATCCAGTCTATTACTGATGGGCATTTAGGTTGATTCCATGTCTTTGCTATAGTGAATAGTGCAGCAATGAACATACACATGCATATATGTTTATAATAGAATGATTTATATTCCTTTGGGTATGTACCCAGTAATGAGATTGCTGGGTCAAATGGTATTCCTGCATCTAGGTCCTTAATTGTCATCCTTAATGTCTTTCACAATGGTTGAATTAATTTATACTCCCACCAACAGTGTAAAAGCATTCCTCTTTCTCCGCAACCTGGCCAGCATCTGTTGTTTTTTGACTTTTTAATAATGGCCATTCTGATGGGTGTGAGATGGTATCTCATTGTGGTTTCCGATTTGCATTTCTCTAATGACCAGTGATGGTGAGCATTTTTTCATAAGTTTGTTGGCTGCATGGATGTTTTCTTTTAAGACGTGTCTGTTCATGTCCTTTGCCCACTTTTTAATGGGTATTTTTTTCTTGTAAATTTGTTTAAGTTCTTGTAGACTCTGGATATTACACCTTTGTCAGATGGACAGATTGCAAACATTTTCTCTCATTCTGTAGGTTGTCTGTTCACTTTGTCAATAGTTTCTTTTGCTGTGCAGAAACTCTTTAGTTTAATTAGATCCCATTTGTCAATTTTTGCTTGTTGCAATTGCTTTTGGCATTTCTGTCATAAAATCTTTGCCCGTGACTATGTCCTGAATGGTACTGCCTAGATTTTCTCCTAGGGTTTTTATAGTTTTGGGTTTTACATTTAAGTCTTTAATACACCTTGGTTAATTTTGTATAAGCTGTAAGGAAGGGGTCCAGTTTCAATTTTCTGCATATAGCTAGCCAGATCTCCCAGCATCATTTATTAAATAGGGACTCCTTTCTGCATTGCTTGTTTTTGTCAGGTTTGTTGAAGATCATGATGGTTGTAGGTGTGTGGACTTCATTTCTGTTCCATTGGTCTATGTGTCTGTTTTTGTACCAGTTTACCACGGTGTTTTAGTTACTGTAGCCCTATAATATAGTTTGAAGTTGGGTACCATGATGCCTCCAGCTTTGTTCTTTTTGCTTAGGATTGTCTTGGCAACTCCAACTCTTTTTTGGTTCCATGTAAATTTTAAAATAGTTTTTTTTCTAATTCTGTGAAGAATGGCAATGGTAGTTTAATGGGAATAGCACTGAAACTATTAAATTACTTTGGGCAGTATGGCTATTTTCATGATATTGATTGTTATCTATGAGCATGGGCAGTATGGCTATTTTCATGATATTGATTCTTATCTATGAGCAGGGAATGTTTCCCAATTTGTTTGTGTCCTTTCTGATTTCTTTGAGTAGTGGTTTGTAGTTCTCCTTGAAGAGGTCCTTCATTTCCCTTGTTAGCTGTATTCCTAAGTATTTTATTCTTTGGTAGCAATTGTGGATGGCAGTTCATTCATGATTTGGCTCTCTGCTTGCCTGTTGGTGGTGTATAGGAATGCTAGCAATTTTTGCACACTGATTTTGTATCCTGAGGCTTTGCTGAAGTTGCTTATCAGCTTAAGAAGCTTTGGGCTGAGATGTTGGGGTTTTCTAGATAAAGGATCATGTCATCTGCAAAGGTAATTTGACTTCCTCTCTTCCTATTTGAATACTCTTTCTTTCTCTTGCCTGATTACCCAGAACTTCCCATACTATGTTGAATAGGAGTGGTGAGAGAGGGCATCCTTATCTTGTGCTGGTTTTCAAGGGGAATGCTTCTGGCTTTTGCCCATTATGATACTGGCTGTGGATTTGTCATAGACGGCTCTTATTATTTTGAGGTATGTTCCTTCAGTACCTAGTTTATTGAGAGCATTTAACATGCAGGGATGTTGAATTTTTTTGATGGCCTTTTCTGCATCTATTGAGAGAACTGTGTGGTTTTTGTCCTTAGTTCTGTTATTGTGATGAATCACATTTATTGATTTGCATATGTTGAACCAATCTTGCATCCCAGGGATGAAGCCAACTTGATCATGGTGGATAAGGCTTTTGATGTGCTGCTGAATTTAGTTTGCCAGTATTTTATTGAGGATTTTTTCATCAATGTTCACCAAGGATATTGAGATATTGACTAGAAGTTTTCTTTTTTTGTTGTATCTCTGCCGGATTTTGGTATCAGGATGATGCTTGCCTCATAGAATGAGTTAGGGAGCAGTCCCTCCTTTGTGATTTTTTGGGATAGTTTCTGTAGAAATGGCACCAGCTCTTCTTCGTGCCTCTGGTAAAATTCAGTTGTGAATGTATCTGTTCCTGGGTTTTTGGTTGGTAGGCAATTTATTCCTGCCTCAATTTCAGAACTCATTATTGGTCTATTCAGGAATTCAATTTCTTCTTGGTTCGGTCGTAGGAGGGTATTATGTGTCCGGGAATTTATCCATTTCTTCTAGATTTTCTAGTTTATATGCATAGAGGTGTTTAATAGCATTCTCTGATGGTCGTCTGTATTTCTGTAGGGTCAGTGGTAATATCCCCCTTATCATAGTGTTTATTTGACTCTTTGCTCTTTTCTTCTTTGTCTATCTAGTGGTCTATCTATTTATTTTAATTTTTTCAAAGAACCAGCTCCTGGATTTGTTGATTTTTTTTTGAAGGGTTATTTGTGTCTCTGTCTTCTTCAGTTCAGCTCTGATCTTGGTTATTTCTTGTCTTCTGCTATCTTTGGGGTTTGTTTGTTCTTGGTTCTCCAGATGTTCTGTTGTAACTTGAAATCTTTCTGGCTTTTGGTGTGGGGATTTAGTGCTATAAATTTCCTTCTTAACACTGCTTTAGCTGCATCCCAGAGATTCTGCTACGTTGCCTCTTTGTTCTCATTAGTTTCAAAGAACTTCTTGATTTCTGCCTTAATTTCATTATCTACCCAAGAGTCATTCAGGAGCCGGCTGTTCAATTTCCATGTAGTTGTGGTGTGGTTTTGAGTGAAATTCTTGATCTTGTGTTCTAATTTGATTGCACTGTGGTCTGAGACTGTTTGTTATGATTTCAGTTCTTTTGCATTTGCTGAGGAGTGTTATACTTCTGATTATGTCACCAATTTTACATTAAGTGCCACATAGCGATCAGAACAATGTGTATTCTGTTGCTATCAGGTCCACTCGATCCAAAGCTGAGTTCAGGTTCTGAATATCTCTGTTACAATTTTCTGTCTCAATTATCTAATACTGACAGTGAGGTATTAAAGTCTCCTATTATTGTGTGGAAGTCAATGTCTCTTTGTAGGTCCCTAAGTACTTGCTTTATGAATCTGGGTGTTCCTGTATTGGGTGCATATATATTTAGAATAGTTAACTCTTTTGTTGAATTGAACCCTTTACCATTATGTAATGCTCTTCATCTTTTTTTAATCTTTGTTGGTTTGAAGTCTCTTTTGTCAGGAACTAGGATTTCCACCCCTGTTTTGTTTTTCTTTTTTTTTTTTTATAGTTTTCATTTGGTTGGTAAATTTTCCTCCATCCCTTTATTTTGAGCCTATGTGTGTGTCTGCACATGAGAGGGTCTCTTGAAGACAGCACACTGATGGGTCTTGGCTCTTTATCCAGCTTGCCATTCTGTGTCTTTTAATTGTGGCATTCAGCCTATTTAAATTTAAGGTTACTATTGCTCTGTGTGAATTTGATCCTGTCATCATGATGCTAGCTGGTTATTTTGAAGAGTTGCTTATTTGGTTGCTTCATAGTGTCAGTGGTCTATGTACTTTGGTATGTTTTTGTAGTGGGTGGTAACGGCTTTTCCTTTCCATATTTAGTGCTTCCTTCAGGAGATCTTGAAAGGCAGGCCTGGTGGTGATGAATTCCCTCAGCATTTGCTTGTCTGGAAAGGATCTTATATTCTCCTTCACTTACGAAGCTTAGTTTGGCCAGATAACGAAATTCTAGGTTGGAAATTCTTTAAGAATGTTGAATATGGGCCCCCAGTCTCTTCTGCCTTGTAGGATTTCTGCTGAGGGGTCTACTGTTAGTCAGACGGGTTTTATTTCATAAGTGATCTGGCCTTTCTCTCTGGCTTCCCTTAACTTTTTTTTCTTGCATTTTGACCTTGGAGAATCTGATGATTTTGTGTCTTGGGGGTTGACCTTCTTGTGGAGTACCTTACTGGAGATCTCTGCATTTCCTGAATTTGAATGTTGGCCTGTCTTGCTAGGCTGAGGAAATTCTCCTGGATGATATCCGGAAGTATGTTTTCCAACTTAGTACCATACTCCCCATCTCTTTCAGGTACCCCAATCAGTTGTATGTTTGATCTCTTTACATAATCCCATATTCTCGGAGGTTTTGTTCACTCTTTTTCATTCATTCTTTTCATTAAAACTTTGCTTTGTTCAAACCTATAGCATATAGGTAATGACAACATAGTTTAAAAGGCTATTTTGGATCTTCATTTTCAACTTCCATTTCTTTGTTGTTGTTTTTTTCTCCTGCTGCTTTCTCAGAGGCTTTTTTAGCATAACACTTCCACTCCTCGCCAATTCAAGGGGAATGCACCAGGGTGCCATATGCTCTCAACCACCCTTGCAGCAGCAGGGATAGATTTGTTCATGCTCCAACCTCTCTCTCCAGTTTTCCTTTAGGTCAGGTGTATGAGGCCTGGGTGAATGTTGTAGCTGTGGAACAGGGCATAGCCAAGTGATTCATTTTAATGTGTTAACCCCCTGGGCTGTGAGCCAAGGACAATGTGAAATAAATCCTTTAGAATTTCTGTTCCCTTGTTAAGAGACATACAGGAAACAAAATTATATAACTGCATAATAGTGTTCTTATTATGGATCTGATTGAGAATTCTTAACAGATTAACAACACCCACAGTGGACATTAATATGTATAATTATCCTTTGTGGGGTATCTAGCAACTTTAAAAATTATGTCTGGGTTTTGGAATTGCTTGTTTTCAAGTTTCTTTTCCAAAAAGGTATTCTGGGGATCAAACTACAAGATTTCCTGTTTGCTCAGAATGGAATGAGCAGTAATAATAATATATTTCCAAAAGATATTGCATGGTAAATATATTGCCCCTGTAAGGTGATAAACTGTAAATCTATTAAATAGCTGGTCCTGTCTTACTAAACTAGGAGACAAGGTAATGGTATTATGTTTTCACTTCAAAATCATTAGTTTGTTCTGGACACATGTACCTGTCGGCCATTTTTGAATTGCAGAATGTCATGTAAATATTTAGGATTAGACAAAACAATCTTCTCAGTGCTGATGTACAATAAATAGTATTCTACTTTCAAATACAGTATTTTACTTGGTTAATGTAGTCATACAGAGAAACAACTTTTATATAAAATTGTTCCCCTGAAAATCTGTACATAGTGAATAATTTTTCACAGAAATTGTTCAGTTCACTAAAGATACAAACTGGAAGACTTGGAATGTTACATCTGTTCCTGGGAGAACAGACTATCTTTTAACATTCATATTGCTTTTTTCTTTAGAGTCATATTCAGATTTCAGAACATCTGTGACTATTACTCCTGTTAACCATCAGAAAAAATGATTTCTTTCTAGATAATGTTTCAGGGAATAGTTGTATTTTTCTCTAACAATATGTAGTAACCTTGAGTTTGTATCTTAGTTACTAGGTATGGTTTTTAGATCTCTATTTACTTTTAATTATTCACAAATCATTCAGCATTTTAGAATTATTTTAAAAGTTTAAAGTTTATACTCATTTATATGAGTCCATTTGGAATTTCCATAAATAAGCAAATGGAATCAAATTCCAAGTAAATGATACTCATTAAGTTGATGACTTTGTATAAAATAATGAGAGGACTATAAAATGGCTATTATTTGCCTATACCTTGTTGAGTATATATAATACAGGAATGGGTATTATAAACCAGCAATCTGTTTTCTTCTAGTGTCATTTTAACATTAATATCTTTATTTAGTGACATCTTGGATGTCACTAAATGGATCTGTCGGCCAGGTGCGGTGGCTCACGCCTGTAATCCCAGCACTTTGGGAGGCTAAGGCAGGCGGATCACCTGAGGTCGGGAGTTCCAGACCAGCCTGACCAACATGGAGAAACCCCCATCTCCACTAAAAATACAAAAAATTAGCTGGGCATGGTGGTGCATGCCTGTAATCCCAGCTATTTGGGGGGCTGAGGCAGGAGAATCACTTGAATCCAGGAGGTGGAGGTTGCGCCACTGTACTGCAGCCTGGGCAACAAGAGCAAAACTCCATCTCCAAAAAAAAAAAAAAATGGATCTGTCAGCAAGCCTACTAGAGTATATTTCTCAGACCTATAAGAGACTCCGGTCTCAAGAGACTCCAGTCTCAAGAAATACTGCAAAGTAGTTCTACTTTTAAAAAGTAGTAATGAACTCATCATTTTTTATGGCTGCATAGTATTCCATGGTGTATATGTGCCACATTTTCTTAATCCAGTCTATCATTGTTGGACATGGACACAGGAAGGGGAATATCACACTCTGGGGACTGTGGTGGGGTGGGGGGAGGGATAGCATTGGGAGATATACCTAATGCTAGATGACGAGTTAGTGGGTGCAGCGCACCAGCATGGCACATGTATACATATGTAACTAACCTGCACAATGTGCACATGTACCCTAAAACTTAAAGTATAATTTAAAAAAAAAAGTAGTAATGAAATAACAGAATTATTAAAGCATGGTAAGTATTATATAAAATGTAAAATTTGAAACCAGAACAGTACTTAATGAAAAAGCTTTCAACAGGCAATAAGTTGACAATTCAGGCAACATTATCCAAAGGAAGTTTAAAGTATACAAGAACTTACAACAAAAAAGCTGTAGCATCATCAGAAAACTTTGTCAGTTTGGGAAGATGCTTTTCATTCATAAAAACTGAAGGAGGGTCACCAAAATCCATAGATCTAGATCCTGGATCCATAGTTCTCTAAAGGGGCCTCTGACCGGACTTTAGGGGACCCATGAGCACAAGCACACGTGCATTTTTCTGCCAAGCAGGAAGCATCTGAGATTTCGTCTGATTTTCTGAGTGGTCAGTACTGGAAAAGCTTAAAATCTTTGGAATACTCGAATGTGATTCTTTAGCTCTTGATCCTTAACAGTTAACATAGCATGACAACCATATTTAGTATACAGTATATTTTTTATATGTTATTCCAAAAAAGGAAATTACAATATATTCAGTAGACTCAGTATCTTTTAAGAGAGACTGTCCTTTCTAAGATGTCAAATCCTTGTGGAACAGCACATTAAAAGGTGGTTCTCTCCTGCAGGTGATTTTGTCTCTTGAGGGATTTCTGGTTGTCACAAGTTGGGGGTAGTGCTACTGGCATCTAGTGTGTAGAAGTCAAGTATGGTGAGAAACATCCAGAACACACAGGACAGTCCCACATGAAAAAGAATTATTCAGCCAAAAAAGTCACGAGTGCCAAGGTTGAGAGGCCCTGGAATACAGCAACTACACTATAAAACCAACTTGGAATGTCTCCCAAATGAAACTGGTTGACCTCGGTGAACTTCATAAAAAAATTTTTATCAAAGGTGGTAGATGGCAGTGTGATACTGTAAATTTTGTACTCAAAGTCTTTGTCTTTTCTAACTCTTTGTCTTTTCTAACTCTTAAAATGTTTTAATAATTAAGATATGGAATATCAATATTCCAAAGTAATATTTAGAGAAACTATATGCTTCCTTCTTAAGATGAAATTAAAATCTGCTTATGAAACATGGAGAAGTCTGCCCAAACATGCTAACTTGGCTTTCTTATTTGTGATTCTGTCACTTTTTTTTTTTCTGTTAAGATTTACAGGCAAACATATGGGCGACATGGTATTTTAAGGTATTTTTCTCCCTAATATCTTAAGTGTGGCATTAACTTAATTCCTGAGGAAATGTATAATCTTCATGGTAAAATAATATGGATTACAAGGGTCTTAATGCAAGTGTTCTTTTGAATATTATAAAACTTGTGACTCTTAAACACAAATTGTCCCAGCATAGAGCCCTGAAAGGACCAAACATGCACATGATGAAATACACAAAACATCTGCTCCAATTTATGGATTAGATGTAGTCTAATCTCATATGCACATATTTTTATCTCTAGTAGATCTTTAAAAAGTAAAAGAAACCCAAGCCTTTATTCAGCTCCTCATTGACCTTTTTCCCTGCACACTCTCATACAGGGATGTTCACAAGTTTTGAGAACAAATTTAGGAGTTTGAAGAAAATGAGAGTAAGTCATGGAGAGTAGAAGACATTCCAAAGTGGTAAATGTAGGCTGAAAATGTAGCATCTGAACCTGGGAGGCTCTGACCATCTACTATAAACGTGGACCTACTAACTGCAATGAAGTATCACAGGACTGTCTGATAGGTAAGACTTAGCATGAGCAGGCAATAGCAATTCATGTTTTCATTTCCTAAGTATAATCTATATAAATATATATTTGCATTAAAATGACTGGCCTGTTAGGAAGTATCAACCAAATTAAACAAGATTACTTTTAAATATACAACCAAAATCAAGAGTGAGTGAAAACACTACTGGAAGTTGGAACTATGCTTGAAATATCTATTGATTCATTTATGGGTAAAGTTACCAAGTTGACAATGTATTTTGTTATTTCACTGACAGCCTGATTGCATTCCACATTGAGCAGTAGTTACACAGCAAGATGACTCTACTATAAAATAATTTTTTGACTTTGGTATTTGTCTCAAGTGACTATCAAGAAAGGCTAAAAATTTAGTCTAATAAAAACCTTTCTCTTCTTGCAGTTTTCTACCTGGATCTGGTGACTTTGAGCAAGTTACCTAACCCCTTTGTGTCTTAGTTTCCACATTTATAAAATGGCCAGAATAATAGCACTTCCCTCATAACGCTGTTATGAGGATGAAGTGAGTTTATACACATGGCACACTTGGAACAGTGCCTGGCACAGAAAGTGCTCTTAAACATTGTGATTACTGTTTTCTTCTGCTAATATTTGGACAGCGATTGCCCAACTGGATGGTATACTATTTTTAACATCTCTTTTATGGCCTGTAAGTCAAGGAAAGAGCCTGTTTCTGGCCCTATCTTGGGCTTCTAAAAGTTAGTGGTGGTTTCTTTTGTCTTTGCAACCCTGTCTTGAGAACAGTGACTTGATCTTAGAAGTTCAGTAAAACATTTTCAATCACGTTTCCATCAAATTACTATTTTACATTAATAGTATTTTCCTTCCTACTCAATCCAAGAATTGGCCTCATATACTATACTGAAATCTAAACAAGTAGGCATACCTAACATTTATGTGACTCGTCTTTATCCAAATACCAAGACTGCCCAATTACTTCCTAACTGACCTCAAGGTAGAAATAGTCTATTCTCAAAATGTGATAAAATGGAAGTGATTCCAAGAATGCCTATACTTTCAAACCATGTCATTTCAGCTTCGGATGTCAAAATAAAAACCATATTTCCTAACACTGAAAAAATCACAATAATATTCTCTTTGAAGATATATGGATAGTAACTTACTCTTTTAGTCAGCTGAGTATCCATCATGAAATTGTGCACGTGTTTTTCTGCTTTGGTAAGTTCTAGCTTCCTTGCCACTACAGCTACCACCAGGGCTGTGCAACCAGCACCCTGAAAACAAGGAGAGAAGAGAAACCCAAAGCATTACTAACTACTTTCTGTCTCAGACACATTAGAAAATGTTTTGCATCAAATGCAAAAGTTTCTCAGGATTAAAAACATTGTCTTCAATAAGTATTACAGAAAATGTGTGATCAACACATGTAAGCAATGTGCCTTAAACTGGGATTAAAAATTTAGTTTACATATTTTAAGAACAAAAGCATATTTGGAAAAAACATTTCCATTCTAAGAAATAAATGGCCTAAAAGCAACTTGGTGAATTTTTGGAGACTTTTTAAAAAACAGAGCAAGTCAGTTATATACCTATAATTATAATAGGAACAAATAACAAATGAGTAGATTAGCATAAATGTATATGGGGTAGAAATAAGGATTTTTCCATACAGAATAAACCTCTAATCTTAAGATGAGATCAGCAGGCCTTCAAGGTGATCAACTGCAATGCACCAGGAATAAAAACAATAAATTATCTCAGCATATACACTGCTTCAGTGTTCCACACACACAAGAGGAAGCGTAACAGGAAGATCACAGTGATCTTAACCTGGGCAACAGAGATAGATGAAGTACTGAAGGTAAGGGGTAACCATTATACCATTTTACAGGTTTACTAACATGACACTAGGAAAGGCACGGGTCATCTTCATTTTGAAAAAACCAACAGTGTTCCTTTTTGAATTACAGACCATTGTTCTGATCTCTTGAAAAAGAGACTCTGTGTGGTACTCTAAGAATTACAGTCCTCCCGCTCCGTGATCAAGGTGTGCTCATTCCAAGTTGTGAGAGTCTTCTGTGCTGAAAGACGAGCAACTACTTGCTGGGGCACCGATTGGAGGGTCCAGGCAAGGTCAAGGTGCTGCAGCCAATTCATCAGTCCTGGGCACAGCCAACCTCCCAGCAGGGAAGGGGGCATGTGAGGAACTACCTCAGGGGTCTGTGAAAGGGAAGTCACACCTCCAGATAGAATCTCAACCCTGAGAGGACCACAGAACCATAGACATTGCCCAGCTAGTCTCAACAAACAGATAACAATGTAAATGGCAGGGCACAGGCAGAGTCCGCTAGACAGAGGCACAGAAAGTAGATGTGATTTAGCTATTCAGTTATAGACCAAAGAATCCATCTTTGGGCTTACTCAATGAGTTGCTGCAACAAATCTGGCAGGAGGGACACGATTGAGGAGAAAAGGAGAAAATAAATACACGACCTGATCATTATGATCATGGAAACATTGCCACAATGATGAGCCAATACTGCTTTAATATATTTCCAGAGGGCTTAAATAGCCTGTTCCATCTAGTTCTATGAAGAAATCAGTATCCTCAGAAAGAAAGTGCTACTGATCACATGATCAGAGAAAGAGGTTGCCAAGTATTTAGACATTCTGATTTAGCCTTCTGATTTTAGAGATGAGACAACTAAAGCAGAGTAAATGATTATTCAGTTATAAACTTTGATTAGCATTGATATTTTTCCTACTCTTTACTTCATCTCATAATATCTATATCTATATTTAGGATCACATACACTTGAATCTCTATATCCATGGGTTCCGTATACATGAATTCAACTGGATTGAAAATATTTCAGTAAAAAAATGGATGGCTGCACCTGTACTGAACATTATAGACCGTTTTCTTTTGTAATTATTCTTTAAACAATAACAATACTGTTTAGCAACTATTTGCAGAGCATTTATATTGTATTAAAAGTATTATAAGTAATCTAGAGATTAAAGTACACAGGAGGATGTACCTAGGTTACATGCAAGTAATACACTATTTTATAAAGGACTTGAGCATCCGTGAATTTTGGTATTCATGGCAGGAAGTGGGGTTCTGGAACTGAACCCCCATGGATACTAAGGGATGACTGTATATTCTTATTTGTGATTATTCCATAGCCATAATGCATTATGAAGCACTGTATTTCAAAGCAAGACAGGAAATTCAAATTCACCTATTTTATATGATAAAGTATGAATGTCTAAAAATCAAGCAATATGATTATCAAAATAATCAACATTGTCCCTATTGTGTAACTGGTATAACTTTTAAATTGGTAGTTTTTAACCTTGACTATAGAATCACTTGGAGAGTTTGTAAAAATCCTAGTGCTGAGAGCTGTGTGCCTCACAGCAAATCTTCATCTCCAGGGATAAAACCCAGGTGTCTGAAATTTTTTAAAAGCTCTCCAGGTGATCCCAAGGTATAGTCACTGCTTTAGATAAAGGAGGATATGCAGTGACTATGACAAACTCCATAAACCTATTAAAACAAGAGGGTCAAAATTCTTATAAGAGTCATTTGACTGACTTATGAAGACACGATAAACAAGGAAAGTAAAGGCAGAGGGTGTGATGTTATTTTGATATTTTGTGCCATATGCAGACAATGAAAGCGAGGTATTTTAGATCTGGGTACTAATGAAAGAAAAGAATGGCCTTTGGAAGCATCTCTACCCATTTTACTGACTTTCAAACATCTACCATGAAGTCTAAAGAAAGAGTTCTAGCAGGCTGATGAAACCAAATCAGTGACCACCTATGATAACCACCATAAAGCTACCTGCTGTATGGTATAGCGTATGCTCGACAAACACAGGCTAGCCTTTTGTAGATATGCTCCTAGGTACTACTCCTCAATCACTGGGTTCTACAGGAACTTGGTGGTTCAGGGCAGCAATGATTCTTTAATAAGCAGAGGTCATAAAAACCTGAGGGGTTCCTAACTACTGCAGAGACAGCTATGAGAGGGTAGTTGGCATAAAAAGTTGAATATTGTTCTCCCCTGGCAGGTGGCCTCTGCTGAGATCTTTCTGGAAAGAAATCAAAATCCTAACAGGAGTGGAAAATCACTGGAATCAAGAGCCTTGGAAAGTGGATTTTTATTTGTGTTTATTCTCAGGCTCCATTCTTTTCTGCTACTGGCCCATTTCTCACCGGGTGTCATCTAAGACATGCATTAAAAATGAGTACCTCTGTTGCAAAGTGGAAAAGAAATTAATCCAATCATTTAGTAATTATCAAAACTATTATCTATATACCTCACTCCATTATCCTAACACTACTCCTTTAAGTTATACCTCCAGAGCCACTTAGAAACCTTTTTGTTCAAATACAAACCCCTTAACTGTTTATTTTAGTGAAGAAAACCATAAACTTATACTTCCCTAGATTAATAAATCGTAAGAGAATCTGATGAAAGTAACCTTTATTTTTTAATTTTTAGAGTTATGCAAGATGAAGCTGGCTCACTTCCGAAAGCTTTCTAGGTTCAAGGTAAATTCCTGCCAACATATTCATGGTTATAGTAATTTAAGTAATGGCATAATATTATTGTCCACCCAGTGTCTATTTCCAGGACGATTCCGTTTCATAAAGTGAATAAGAATGGAAATAAGTACGATTTTACAACATTTTCTCCAAAGCTTGTCACCACCACAATCGATGTAGAAACAGTTGGGACTAACATATGTTACTCTCTGAAATTAAGATCCCTGTATGCATTTAACAAGATGAGTCATATTCCTTTCACCAAAGTCAGAAAATGTATCCTGGTTACTTTTCTCTCATTTCATTTATCTTCTTAGAAAAAACTTAAGCAAAATCACTAACCTGTCACTTCAAGATGCTTGGGCATTTAAAAACAAAATGAAGAAAATACAGTGTATTTAGGAAGTCAATATATTAAAAGCAAAGGTTCAGGTTTCGCTTGGCTTGTTTATCATCTTTCCTTCTAACAGAGAAGATGGTGAAAGAGAGAAAAAGGGATAAGTTAAGGGGGGCAGAGGGAGAAGGACTTTGCTTTAGAAAAGGTAAGTAATGACAAGTGTTGTTAACGTTTACTACCCTAAGCCAAGCCAGATTAAACTGAACAGACAAATGACAATTAGTTACTATTACCTATGTACCTCTAGGGAAATCCCAACACGTGGATAGTCTTAGATGCTGCCAAGTTAAAATTAAAATGTAGTGTTTTTCTCCACTGTATTCTTCTCCATTATAGCGCAGAAACTGTAAGCCATGTTGAGCCCTTGGATGTAAAAGAAGTTCAGGTATCCCATTTCCCTCAAAAGCATGTATCACATAATATTTGAAAAATTAAAATGTGACACATTTTTGCCCTAAATCATCTACTTATGCTGATCCTGCAAATACTTCCAAGAATCATTTTGAAAAACCATTTTGGGATCAAGCTTTAATAACAAGGATACAAGCCTATGAAAAAGAGAAATTCCTTCACATAACACACTGTGGAAAGGTTTTGATTATTTCAACTGTGAAAAAGACATCTTCAAAAGATTCAACATAATAATGAAATTTATACTTTTTAAACAAATTCCAGAATTTTTACTGCTACAGAGAATGGCTCTGATAAAAAACACTAATGTTCAAAATATTCTAGGCTTAAAGTATCCTCCTGTGGGATTTATAATAGCTCCTGCTCCTCAAAGTTCAAAATTCAGTTTGACAGCCAGTTTATTAGACTAAATAGACTATTAGCCTATAATTAAAATTTATCCAAAATAGTTAACTTGAAAAAAAATCACGCTTTTATGTAAAAATAAAACAGCTTTAAGATCTTTCACAAATCAGCTTGCCCTCCAAAAGGAAGGTAAAACAAATACTTGAACACATTGCCTGTTTTTCTGTCCCTGGGGCTGACTGACTCAATGTGCCAGAACCATAAAAACATTTTTACTATACTTGACTGACATAAATAATTATTCTTTCATAAAAACATGTGAAACAATCAATTCTGGCAAGTAACATTTTATAAAGCACTCTGCTTTAATATTATATCCCATTGGAGTTTTACAAGGTTTCCTCAGGTCATGAAAATAAATAAGTTTCAAGGAAGTTTTGATGACAAATTCTATCAAAAATGCCCTCTAAGTGTCTTCAAATACAAGTTGATATTTGCTACTAAGGGTGGAGGTCAATTTCAAATGTCCTCATTGTAAGAAAAGAGGGGAGAGTGTGTGGTGTTTGAGCCCAGTTATTAAGCCTGGGCCTGGGCAACCCGAGCCTCCTTTATAGTGATTTGCTTGTTCAGGTCATTCTTCTACTTTTAGGGTCAGAAAGAAGGAAGTACCTCATAAAACTGGTCATCAACAATGAATCATCCCTCGGTTTAAATCTCCTGATTAGCAACAGTGCCAGTGTGAGTGCAGGTACTTCAGAGATAGGAAGGGCAGCTCTGCCAATTAAAAGTGCTGATAGTTTAGAAAAATTGGGTGAAATTGTGGAGTCCATGAGCTGTGTGCTAAAAGGTCACAACAACTTCCACCTATACTTTCCTGTACCCGGAAGACGGCAGCTGTCATATTTAAGACATTTTTTTGCGATCCACTTATGAAATTTCTTGGTGGGAAGTGAAGGTCCTCAAGAAAGGACATTGGTGGGGAATTTAGCCTTATGACTGAAAAGGCCCATCTCCTCCAGCTGCTCTGCACAAAATAGAAACTATTGTATGTAAGAACTTAAAGATATACTCTCTTCACTGGGGCTTTATCTGATGAGATTCAGTGAACGCACCAGAAAGAACCAAAAAGCAAGCAATACAAAAGTTAAAACCTCTTCAAAATTAAACACCCAATGTCAAATTGTGTAAGACATTTTTAAAAATCCTTGAGTGTTTTGCACATTCTCAAACATTCAACACTAAGGAATGGCTTCAGATCAGTTTTGCAGGATTTCTATGTACACTGGCGGGGGAAAACAAATCCTCAAATGGAAACAGAGAGTGTTACAGGAAGAGGAGTATAATCAGACCTTAGGTTTCGCATTCTTTCATACCAATCACTTCTTTTTTATGAGCTCTAGCTAATTCGTGCTGTTTTGGAACACCCTCTTAGCGACTTAACAGGGTAGTGTTTTTGCTCTTCAGGATGCAAACTGTTTGTTTAACTGACAACTAATGGAGTCACCATGTGATGTTAAATTAAGATTTCCTCGGCACAGGGCAAATTTAACGTGGAAAGGATTATTATCAAATCTTAAGGAAAAGGCAAGGCTGTGTAAAGGCTTCTGTCCTGAACTGACTTGTTTTTTTGCTCCTTGAAGAAAATTTTAAAATTTAATTAGCGTAGTGATTTTCAAATTGCTATGAACTGCGAAAGCTTTACGCATTGCTTTTGTTTACATAGAACTACTAGTGGGATGGAAGAAACCTAAATCACTGATATCTGAAGTGTCCTCAGTTTTGTTGAGGGAGTCATGCTAGATGTTGTCAAAGTCTAGTGGTTTATAAATCACTATTAGAGAACCATTTATTGAATAACAACCTGCATCCCTAGGAATGAACAGATATTACTCGATATTTAAAGATAATTAAACCAAAAAATCCAGTCATCCATACTCTAGTCAAAAGGCCACCAAGAGTCACTGTAATTTTACAGAAATAGAGAAGCAAAAAGAACAAATGAGCAACCTTAATTCCAGTATAAGATGAAAGATACCCTTACCCACAAGGCTATTTTTCACTCTTGAAACAATCATATATATTCATAGTTGTGGGAGAATTCATAGCTTTCAGGATGTGTTTTATATATATATATATATATTTCTAGGAAGATAAAATAACTTTGTAAATGCTAAGTAAAACAATTACTTTATTGGAAAATTGGAGACATTGAGAAACTAGCTGGTGCTGTCCAAAAGCTGATAGACACTGTGATCTAACCATATTACTTGCCTACCATCTTCAACCAAAAGTACAAAGCTACTCAGAAATCATCCCATTGTTTATCATGACCTTTACAATAGTAAACCCTCAGGTCTTCAGTACTTCCTCAAATAGCAGAAGGGTAGAAGAATAAAAAGAGAAAATAAGTAATTACAACCATAATGGTTTTCTCTTGAAGGGTAGTGAGTGGTTTTCTTTTATTTCTTCTATTAGGCAATCTCATGACTTATTTTATAAAAATAATAATAAGAGATCTTGGTCTCTTAAGCTTTAATTCCCATATTGGTCTTGGTAATGAAGAAATTTCTACATTCTCCATAGGAGTGTCTAGGTCACTTTCATCCATATGCTCTTGATCCCTAAGGAGCTGATGTAAGATGTAATCAACTGCCAGAAGTGAATCCCAGGAAGACTGCCCCGTAGCCTGACTCCATGGGAATCTGCTTAGTCTAGAAGAAGAGATAATCCAACTCTACAGAGCATCTCAAATATGTTACTCAAATATTAGTGAATTTCTCTGTATGCAAGTAAACCAATTTTGATCAAGTCAATTAATTAGGAAATAAGTCTGATCCTTATGAAGGAGAGGGAATGGAGCTCCTCAGCCTAAGAATAGAGGGACTCTTTTACCATAAGCTTAAGGGCTGGAACGAAGTCACCATAAATTCCATTACATATAACATTTTTGTGTCCACATATATTTAATGGTACTATAACCTCTCTCTTTTTTTTTTTTTGAGATGATGGAGTTTCACTCTTGTTGCCCAGGCTAGAGTGCCATGGCGCAATCTCGGCTCACTGCAACCTCCGCCTCCCACGTTCAAGAGATTCTCCTGCCTCAGCCTCCTGAATAGCTGGGATTATAGGCATGTGCCACCACACCTGGCTAATTCTGTATTTTTAGTAGAGAGGGGGTTTCTCCATGTTGGTCAGGTTGGTCTCGAACTCCCAACCTCAGGTGATCCACCTGCCTCGGCCTCCCAAAGTGTTGGGATTACAGGCGTGGGACACAGTGCCAGGCCATAACCTCTCTTTTTTAAGCAAAGTAAGATCAGTAGTGAAACCTGAGCAAGAGGCAGTTCAAGAAGGTAAATAAAAGATTTGTACTATCTGATGAGACTTTGAAGGAACAGTTTTTGAGACACGAGGAACAAGAAAATATCAAGGAACGATAAACATTTTGTAAAACCCAGGCAAGGTTAACCTCAAATTTGGCTCAGATTCCATGGCAAATAAGCCTGTGCACATGACCCTTGAGTCACACCTGATTGGAGAATAAAAGAGGGTACCATCTTGACAAAAAGTAACACTAAGGAAGTTGTTTCTAAGAAGCACTAGGGGAAAGACTCTGCAATTACTAGTTTTTATAAATAGCATCATTTATATCCCTTGTGGACTTGTTATGGGCCTCCTAAAAATAATCTATGCAAATTACATTTCCCAAAGCATTATACCACATAATAAAATGCTATTATTTGAGGAAAAAAGGGGAAGTGATCCAATAGTAAACAAACAGATAATGCAGCATACCGTTTTTTTTTTTAAAGTTCACTATAATTAAAACTATTATTTTTCTTTTAAAGGCAAATAATGTTAAATTATGCCCCCAAACTATATTTTCTACAATTGGGACTTGAAATGGCCATCTTGTTACTACTGGGACATTAAAATTGACCCTGGATTCTTATTTTCAAAGTTAGCTGCCTTATCCCAGTTGAACACTACCGAGGGGGGAGAAGGATGTTGCCTGTCTATGCCAAGGGCACGCTCTCCTTCCACTTAGCTGTGACTCTTGGAGCAGTCTTCCCAGGCAGCTTCTGCAAAGGTGTGCACCCTCCACTGGCCACCACTCAGAGGCCCTCAAATGACAACCCTCTGCTCTCTCCTACCAGCCTGTGGGTGAATACAGTTAGAGGTGTTGAACAGGGTACCTGATTTCAGAAATTCTGACAATTTGGAACCTGCAGTACTCGTTCACATCCTCATGTAGACAGAAACCACACAAGGATCAAGATGACACTCTTTGCTGTAAGCAAACTTTAAAAAGTAGATAAAGAATGCAGACAAGCCTAGGTCATTGAAAACTGTGCATCAACAATTTGAAACTACCTCTGGCTTAAATATTTAGAAGTTCATACCACATTATAATCACAGCTTGCTAGCCTCCCATTTCCTATACCTAAAAAACAAATGGAGCAAAAAAGTGGTCCTGGCTAGTCATGTGTGGAGGGGCAAAAAAGATGTCTGAGCCTATGAGGCATGCCAGAAGAACGATGGCATGTCAGTAGCAGACCTTTCCCAAGTGCTCCACAAGACGTGGCCTCCTGTCCCTGCCTCATGCCAGGCCGCTCTCCCCTTTTGCTCTGTGTACTCCTGGCCCAATGACCTGGCTCCACTGTACTGAGCTCCTTCTTGCCTCATTGCCTTCAAATACACCATTTCCTCTTCCTGGAATGCTCTCCCTACTTCCCTTCCTGGGTATGGACCCTTCTCACTTCAGCGTAAAAATCAATTTTCTAGTGATGATTTCTCTGAGTAGATCCCATCCCTCTCCCCCAGGCCCAAAACAGGTCAGAAGCTTTACTAGTTCACAAATGTAATGAACCATTATTTATTATTTTTAAAATGCAAGTCTTCCCTTGTAAGCTCCATGAAGGCAGGGCAGTAAGTTTCTATCTTCTTTTGATGTATTCCTAGTACCTAGGCCAGTGCCTAGCACTCAACAAACATTTGTTAAAAGAAAGAAAAATAAATATTATAATTAATATATCTTCTACCCTTCAACACATTTCAAGATAGTTATTATGGGCTATATTTTACAATTTACTCAAATTTGCACAGCTAGTAGGAGATGGGAGGACACAGTCTTAAAGGACTTCCTGATTCTGAAGCCAAAGCTCCAAGATCAAATTAGTTTATCAAATTAGTGCATGCCCCACAAGGGGCAATCAAACAGCTCTACCTCTTCAACAGAATTTCATGATGAGAAGAATTAAGAGGAAAACTGTTGACATTCTCTCTCAACACAAAATTGATTTATTTATACTGATTTCCTGCTGATGGGAAAAGAAGTAGCTCACAATTACTTATGCACGTGGACTGAGTGGTTTAAGTGCCTTCTTGAGCGTAAATAAAAGAGATGTGAAGTATAAAGACACTTACCATAATTCCAGTAAGTAAGCAGACTCCTTTTCCACAGTATGTGTTAGGTACCATGTCACCATAACCAATGGAGAGAAAAGTTATTGATATCAACCACATCGCTCCAAGGAAGTTGCTAGTAACATCCTGTTGATCATGGTACCTGAAAAACAGCAAACAAAACCAGTCCTTTATAATTAATCTCCAATATGATAGTTAAGTGTGGTTTGGTTCAATTCAACGAATTTACTGTATCTTCTATAAACTGCTATATTTAGAAGTTTTCAAAGCTTGTGAATATAAACAAAATTGAGGTTCCATCTAAGCAATCCACGACATCAGAAAGTGCCTCAACTTTATATATCATCTGAAAGAGACTGTAAAATATAAAACAGATTTCCTCACTGGTGTAAGATGATACAGGCACATTTATCTTTGTAGACTCCTCCGGCCCCTGCCCGTGTCTCGTCACTCCTTGCCTAGCTGATGTGCCAGACTTAAGAGACAATATGCAGCTGCCCAATCTCACTCCACACCTTTGTAACCAAAATGAATTATGATGTTCCCTTTGCTTGGACTGGCCTTTGCTACCTCGATTTCCTGACGATGGGCTAACACCTCTTCATCCTTCAAAGTAAGTTCAAGTGGGAGCCTTTTCTGTCTTCTCTTCCCCTCAGTGCTTCCCCTGTGCTCCCTGAGTATCGGGCACATCCCTAGATCATGGGACCATATTATAATAGGTCAATCTACCTGGATGTCCTTCATCCTTGAACACAGAAACTGTACCTCTGATCACAGAGTCCCTGCCCATAACCAGAGCTTAATAGAAGTTGTCTTACCAGTTATACACAAAGAACTTACAGTCGAAAAGAGGGAGAGGGATACAAAGTATCCTAATCATTCTTTGAGGTGTCAAATTTTACTGGTAAGGAAGAAAGCTTTTATATCAGAAACAGGTATCCTATCACACTTCGGTTGAATTAACAGTACGAAACAGTAACCCTCTGTGCCCGTGATGTGGACACTGGTTTTATACAACAGCATGTATGCATACAACAGCAAGGCCATCAGAGTTGTCACCCTAGAAGAATTTGCTCTAGATGCACATTCTGTGTGGTCATGGGGCAGAGAGGCCCTGCTCTGGTTTCTATGACAGTCAGGCCCCAGACTCTGGTCACTAGAAGACTTCCTTACTTTTCACCCACCATTGGAAAGGACCATCACTCCTTCCCATCTCTCAGATACCACTCAGAGGGCTTTCCTTTCCTCATTTCTTGCTCTGCAAAATATACTGATAATTGCGCGGTACTCATCATCTCCTGCTTCGCTCACTCAGTCCTGCCTTTCAACTCAATTCCCCATCTGTGTCTGTGCTGCCAGGGCTGTGGTGGCAAGGAGGCTGCTCCTAGCCAGAGCCCCAGGATTAGCCCTATATGCAACCTACACTGGACCATGGCATTCGCTATGCTTTTTTTTTTTTTCCTGTCCCTCATCCCATGCCAAGCTTCCTGCTTCAAAAATAAAAAATGCAGATTTATCTTACAGGGTATAAGCTTTTCTCCACAATATCAGCAGATCTTACACTCTATCTTTGGACATACAAGAGACCCATTCTTATCACATTTGTCCCTTTGCCTTCTTCCAAAGAATAGAGAAGCTAAGAAATTCTGTTTCCTGCTACTGTGGACTAAGGAAACAGGCTCCGGGCTGGAGTGAGTGGAACCCCAGAGAAAGGGCAATCACTGATCTCCTGGAATCAAAGGGAAGGGCATGTGAACAGGCAGCCAGCCTGATTAGGAGCATCCTGCAAGTTTCTGTGGCAGAGGTGCAGAAATCACCACCGTTCCTCACCCCTAAACAACCTCCATGACCTAGCTGTAAAGTCCCCTCTCCCCAGAAGGTCTTGGTGTAGAGGCTGTCATTGTCAAAAGGAAAGTCATATGTATTCCTAGCATTCCAGGAAGGCAGCTGAGTGCATTTCCCCTGAGAATCTTTGTTACCTAATATATACCTAGGAAGATGCTATGTGATCAGTGCTATGCTCAGCCACAATATGAGCTAAGCAGGATTCTGTGGACTGCTCTGGGAGCCTGCTATGCGTATGTAACAGAGCTTCAATGGGAGGACGTGGTTTTCCTTTCAAAATAAAACCCCTAGAAATAAACTCTGGATTATAATCTATTAATAATATTGGGGCTCTCTAGTAAGTATTCCTCACCAAGCAATTTCCTAAAACAGGAAATACATTACCCTATCGTAAGAATGGTCTGTAAAGAGAGGGGAGGCAAAAGAGTTCATTTCCTATTCAGTTTTTAATTGTGAGACAAAGCTGCTTCTTAGCACAATTCATACACTGATGTGATACACTTAAGAGCTAATGGCTCTGGTTCCATGATGCATATGTATGTACATACCATACTTACTGAGTGTTCACTATGTACTCAGAGAACTTAACTTGCATTTTCTAATTTGACGTATGTTGTAATGCATGGACAATCTTTGGCTGAAACAGTTATATTCTTGACTGTCTCTATATCAGCAAAGTGTCCTTAGATACTTAGTTTCTAGACACTTAGAAAATGTGCCTGGGTCCCAGTGAAATCTTCAAGTTGTTTTTTCACTGCCACAGTGAGTGACCAGAACACTATTATTAATAACTAGCTAGGCCAGCCAGGTGTGGTGGCTCACACCTGGAATCCTACCACTTTGGGAGACCAAAGTAGGTGGATCTCCTGAGGTCAGGAGTTCGGGACCAGCTTGGGCCAACACAGTGAAACCCCATCTCTACTAAAAATGCAAAAGTTAGCCAGGTATGGTAGTGTAAGCCGATAGTCCCACCTACTTGGGAGGCTGAGGGAGGGGAATCACTTGAACCTGGGAGGCAGAGGTTGCAGTGAGCCAAGACTGCACTGCCACTGCACTCCAGCCTGGATGACAGAGTGAGACTCCTTGTCAAAAAACAACAAACAAACAAACAAAAAAACAACCTTCCTAGGCATGTGGTTTTCACAGAGCAGGTAACTACGAAGAGAAGTAAGAGATTTCATACGATAAACAAAGATTTCTAGGGGGTACCTTCATGGCCGTTGCCTGCAGGGAAATTTCAACTTTGGCATGGGTGTGAAGGTCTTTCTAATCTCCTGCTCCTGCAGCACTTTTTATTAAAAATGTTTTTCAGAGTTGGGGGCAGTAAATGACTGAAAACTGCAATGAAAAGCATACACTGGAACATTTAGGCAAGCTAACTCATTAGACGCTTACCTTTAACAAATGCTCAAATCTTAGATAGACAAATTTCTTCCATCCTTATTTGCCAAATACTCTCAGGAAATACATCATTAAATCACTCAATTAATATTTACTATATGCTGTTCGCATTACATTGCATCAGAGATTGTCATCCTGTATTGAAGAGCTTTAAATAGAAACATGCATCTTTCTAGGAGTTGGCATTTTAGGGCTTGGGATTCAATGATAAATTATCCTTTTTGCTTACAAAATAATAAACCTGCCCTAAAAATAGCTCAGAATAGAAAAATGACATCTCATACTAATGTTTATGTTGCACTCAGACATACATGATTGTGAATATTCAAGATGAGGTAATCAGGAACCAAATTAGATACTATTAGAATAATCCCCTATTTTGTTTTTCAGCAACTCAGAAACAAAATTAGACTTTTCACAGGATGATATTATCATTTTGAACATCCCCAGGTTTTTAATCTATGACAGATTCACATCACTGTGAATGATTAATACAATGTTTAAAAATTTTCAAAACATTTTTTATAGAAGTTCGCTTCACATACTTAGACAATTCCAACCTTCTCTACAAGGAGAACTATTCTGAGAAAGGCATGAAGAAATGATTTGTACAAATTTCAAGTTTTGATCAACATGAATGCTGATTTAATAAAAACACATTCAATAAGATTAAAATTAGTGCAAGGAATGCCCAATAATCTCAAGCTTTTAAAATGAGGACTTTGGAGTTTTGGCATGAACTGCATGCTTCAGAGACAAAGACTGTAAGATCAACTTTAATGTTTTAAAAGAAGCAAACTGTTCCTTTTCTTAGTTTCTATTCCTAATTCATTTCTTAATTCATTGCTGACTAAGGGTCTCACACTCTTTCTTAGATTACAAATATGACAGCTTTCTATAACGTGTGTCAAAGTTCACAGAAGTTATCTTTCCCAAGGAATCAGTGCCTTCTTCCCCAAGAGAGTGATGGCCTCTGGCCTGCGCTCCTGCCTCCCTCAGCACCCGCACACTAATGGCTGGGAGGTATGCTGTTATCCTTCACAGCTCTCTTTCTCTGCAGATGTATTTCCTTCTGCTGGGAAACACGTCCCCCCTTCTCTCTAACCCTCGTTTGTACTCTGAGGATCTGTTTGTGGGTCCCCTTCTCCAGATTCCCTGTAGCTTTTGGTCAGCATGATACTCCAAGCCTGGTTCCCTCTCTGTATCCCAGGAACATCTTGTAGATATCTCTAGCACCATTTGATAAACGTTACTTTGGGTCATAAGACAGGTAATGTGGAATTCACTCATCTAACATACCCTTAGAATCGAAATTATAAAGAATTTGAAGATAACGACTATGCCTTATTCATTGTTGTATAGTCACAGATGCTTACAAAAACATAGCAGGGAAGTAATATTTGAAGTAATTAATGTGACAAAGGGAAACATGTCCTCAAGTTGACTTGCCTTGGGCCACATGCTAGATTTTTAGGATTATACACATAGACATATAAAAAGTGGATAAAAATAATTCTTGCTCATCAGTGAACATAAATTGGATTTGTCGTGTTATGTTCCAAGATCTGTGTGCAACTTAGAAGGTATTTTTATATCTGTAAAAATAATTCAGTCGTGGAGGTTAACAGCTAACAAATTGTGTTCATTAATCCTTTTCTATTAAATTTACCAGTAATACTAAAAATGGAAAAAAAATCTCATCTCAAATGTCAGCTCTGGTCTCAAATGTCAGCCATAGTTAGTGAGAAGTATTATGGAGATGTAAATGCATGTGATCAATCCACCATCAGTTCTCTTTCTGGAATCCACCTCTCTCCTGAAATACCATTAAAGTGACAGCAATGCATTTTTTTTAAAAGGTGTAAACCAACAAGAACAAAGGGAAATGAAAGGAGACATCAGAGAAGAAGAAACAACACATTCTTATGTCAATTACTGTGTAATTTGCTTTCAGCCAAGATGGAGCAACAGAGAACTAGATTTATACTCTCTCCTGAAACAACTAAAAAAGCAGATAAAATATTTGATACAATGGTTATCAAGACATTGGTTATCTAGCAACAAAGGACAGTGATTCTTGAGAGATGGAAAACAACTGAGCAATACAATGGCCCCCACTTTAATGACTAAAGAGAATCTCTCAGGTGCAGCTCAGGGAAGGAAACCTGGCACTGCCTGGAGGTCTCCCTCTGTTGAAGGACAGAGCTGGAAATCCAGGGAGGTTAAGAATTCAAAAGGGCAAAAATCAAAAAGGAGAGACCTGTACAGAGACACATGCAGAGAACTTCATAGGGTTCTGCTTGATTATTAAGCTGAAAACTCATCTATGTGAAGTGATACAGTACCGCTTGAAGATAGACTGCAGTAAAAGATAGTATATACTATCAGGTGAAGAAAGACTGTGATAACATAGGTATAGTATGCCTAAGTGTGTAAGTGCAGTCATACCTGGGGGATATTGCAGGTTCAGATGCAGATCACTGCAATCATGCAAATATTTCAACAAAGCAAGTCACACAAATTTGTTTCCCAGTTTCTAAAAATGTTGTTATGTGTATACTATACTGTAGTTCTATTAAGTGTGCTATAGCATGATGTCTTAAAAAATGTATATACCTTAATTGAAGAGTGCTGTATTGCTCAAAAATTCTATGGATTTAAGTCTTCAATGAGTCATAATCTTTTTTCTGGTGGAGGGTCTTGCCTCAGTGTTGATGGCTGCTGACTGATCAGGGTGGTGCTTGCTGAAGGTTGAGATGGCTGTGGCAATTTCTTAAAATAACACAGCAATGAAGTTTGCCACATCAATGGACTCTTTCTTTCAGGAAAGATTTATCTATAGCATATGATGCTATATGATAGCATTTTACCCATAGAACTTCTTTCAAAATTGGAATCAATCCTCCCAAACCGTGACACAGCTTTATCAACTAAGTTTATGTATTTTCTAAAGTCTTTGTTGTCATTTCAACAATGTTCACAGCATCTTCTCCAGGAGTAGATTCCATCTCAAGAAACAGTTTATTTGCTGATCCATAGGAAGCAAAGCAAACGCCCCATACATTCAAATTTGATCATGAGATTGCAGCAATTCAATCACTTATTCAGGCTCTACTTCTATTAATATTTCTAGTTATCTTGCTATTTCCATTATACCTGCAGCTACTTCTTCTGTTGAAATTTGAATCCTTTCAAGTTATCCATGAGGTTTAGAATCAACTTCTTCCAAACTCCTGTTAATGTTGCTATTTTGACCTCCTTCCCTGAATCACAGATGTTCTTAATGGCATGTAGAATAAATTAATCCTTTCCAGAAGGTTTTCAATTTACTTTGCCTAGCTCCATCAGCTATAGCCTTACAAAATGTATTTTTGAAATAATATGACTTGAGAGTCATAATTACTCCTTGATCTGTGTGCTGCAGAATAGATGTTTTGTTAGCAGGCATGAAAACAACACTAATCTTGTCCATCTCCATCGGAGATCTTGGGTGACCAAGTGCATTGTCAGTGATCAGTAATAATTTCAGAGAAGTCTTTTTTTGTTTGTTTGTTTTGAGCAACAGAACTCAAAAGTGGCTTAAAATATTCAGTAAATGATGCTATAAACAGATGTGCTGTCATCCAGGCTTTGTTGTTCCATTTACAGGGCACAGGCAAAGTAGATTTAGTATAATTCTTAACGGCCCTAGGTTTTTCAGCATGGTAAATCAGGATTGCCTTCAACTCAGAGTCACCAGCAGCATTAGTACCTAACAAGACAGTTCATGTGTCCTTTGAAACTTTGAAGCCAGGCATTAACTTCTCCACTCTAGCTATGGAATTCCTAGATGACATATTTTTCCAATAGAAGCCTGTTTCATCTACATTGAAAATCTATTGTTTATTGTAGCCACCTTCAACGATCTTAGCTAGATCACATGTGGACACCTTGCTGTCGCCACATCAGCACTTCCTGCTTCACCTTGCTTTTATGTTATAAAGATGGTTTCTTTCCTTAAATCTAATGAACCAACCTCTGCTGGCTTCAAGCTTTTCTTCTGCAGCTTCCTCACCTCTCTCAGCCTTCAAAGAACTGAAGAGAGTTAGGACCTTGTATGGATTAGGCTTTGGCTTGAGGAAATGTTGCAGCTTGTTTTATCTTCTATCCAGACTACTCAAACTTTCTCCATAACCGCATTAAGGCTGTTTTGTTTCCTATTATTCATGTGTTCACTGGAGTAGCACTTTTAATTTCCTTCAACTTTTCCTTTGCATTCACAACTTGGATAAATGTTTGGTATAAGAAGCCTAGCTTTCAGCTTATCCCAGCTTTTGAAATGCCTTCCTCATTAAGCTTAATCATGTCTAGTTTTTGATTGAAAGTGAGAGATACGCAATCCTTCTTGTCACGTGAACACTTGGAAGCCATTGTAGGTCATTAGTTGGCCTCATTTAAGTATCACTGCGTTTCAGGGAATAGGAAAGCCAGATAAAAGTGAGAGAGATGGGGGAACAGCTAGTTGGTGAAGCAGTCAACACACACAACATTTATCATTTAAGTTTGCCTTCTCTTATGGGCTTGATTCATGGAACCCCAAGATAAATAGAATTGTAATATCAAAGATCCCTGATCATAAATCACCATAAGAGGTACAATAATGAAAAAGTTTGAGAAGCTACAAGAATTACCAAAATGTGACACAAAGACACCAACTGAGCATGTGCTATGGAAAAAATGATGCTGATCGCCTAGCTCGATGCAGCACTGACACAGTCCTTCAGTTTGTAAAAAATGCAGTATCTGTGAAACACAATAAAGTGAAGCACAATAAAATGAGGTAAGCCTGTGTGCCATAAACCCCAAAGGAACCACTGAAGTAACACATTGAAAAAGAATAGCTGATAACTCAATAAAGGATAGAAAATTGAATATTAAAAAAAATCCCAAGAGAGCCAGAAATAAAGGAAAAAAAGAGATGGAGCAAATAGTAAACAAATAGCAACAGGAGAGATTTACATAAGCGTATCTGTAACCACATTAAATATAAATGGTCTGTGTACCCCCAATTCGAAGGCACAAATTGTCATAGAACCCGTGGAAGTGTCACAACTTGGAGAAACCAAGTACCACAAAATGTGTGGATAAAGTCCAAAGCTAAAACCAGGGGAACTGATTAACTGTAAGTATACAGAATGATGGATACGCACGTACCTGCCCTGCCTGGTATCAACAGACAACTCACAGGAGATAGGTTCATTCTCTGGGGATACACTGGATACTCAGAGACTTAGGGCCCAGCCAAGGGCAGAAGAAATGTTTGGGGCCTTAAGTTCAAGTTTCTAAGCTGAACAGTAGCATTTCTAGTCTCTTTCCTTCACTTCCCATACCTGACCCTAATATTAGAATTTGATAATACAGAGAAAGAATATTTTTCCCTGGAGAAACAGGACAACTTCTCAGGAAAGACATTCATGTATTAATAATATCAAGAATTCCCTAATGAAAAACTCAACTATCACCCCACAGTGATTGTCATCAAACAGTAAACCCTTACCCTTACCGAGCTTCCAACTGGCTTCCAATTGCCACTCTTAATACGAGAGAATGGCAAATGATCAGCACACACTTGAATCTGATTTCTATCGAAAAGACACAAAAAGGAGGGAGGAAGAAAGAAAGGAAGGGAAGGGAGGAAACAGAACAAACCTGAGATGATGTAGAGTGATGAGGGGACAGGACTCCTGAACTATGTAAATTATACTACAAAAAGGCTAAATAAAAACTTTACTATGCAGCCATAAAAAGAATGAGTTCATGTCCTTTGCAGGGACATGGATGAAGCTGGAAACCATCATTCTCAGCAAACTAACACGGGAACAGAAAACCAAACACCGCATGTTCTCACTCGTAAGTGGGAGTTCAACAATGAGAATGCGTGGACACAGGGCAGGGAACATCACATACCGGGGCCTACTGGGGTGTGGTGAGACAGGACAGGGACAGCATTAGGACAAATACCTAATGCGTGTGGGGCTTAAAACCTAGATGACGGGTTGACAGGTGCAGCAAACCACCATGACACATGTATATCAATGTAACAAACCTACACATTCAGCACATGTATCACAGGAACTGAAAGTTAAAAAAAAATTGCATTAATAGGAAGAGGAAAAGTGGAATACAACTATACAACACCAACTTATGATGAAAAAGTAACCGTAATGCAGTTAGAATGTAAGTTGACAGAAATTTCCCAGAAAGTAGAAAAAAGCAAAAAGAGAAGAGGAGAACAAAAAAGATACATTCTCAGACAATTAAAATAGAGGTTCCAACAACTATCTTTCCAGAAGGATAATATGGACAGTGGAAGAAAAGAAATAGTGTTCTTCTATTTCTTTGACTGGAAAACTGGAAGGCACACATCTATCTCTAAAGGGAAGATTCTACTGAGAATATGTATACGAAATAAGAAATGACCTAAGTCATGGCAGATGACTGTAAATTTTTAAATACCAGGAATAAAGAAAAGATCTTAAAAAGTTTCTAAGAGGAGAAAAATAGACCGAGCTAAATATTCAAATGCTTGCCTCTAACATTATTTGTTTTAAGTAGTGTGTATGTGTGTTGGGAGGAAAAGAGGTAGGCAATGCATCTCTTGTTTTGTACAGGGGAGGGATGAAAAATCTGGCAGTAGGAACTGAGCAGGCATAGATCAGGCCCTCTCTTTCCTTGGCTTGCCCACAAAGCAGGTGTATGGGGTTTTCTATGTGGTAAGCTCACCTGGGACACAGAGTGACTCCCTCAGTGTGAGGGTACACCTACGACTTTTTTCAAATTCAGTGGTAAATCAGCAGAACATTAGAAAGCCCATGTGGCTGTAGGGCAAGTGGTGGTGTCCAAATCCGTTTAATTTCAGTAACAAAGCTGATATTGCCGTGTCCACCAGCTGCAGGCTCAGAGAGATGCAAGGAGTCTGATAAATGGTCTCCTTCCAAATTGCAACTATGTGCATGTAGTTTTCATTTGAAGTAAAGGCAAATAAAATAACTGCTTCAATTAATTAGAACATATAAGCATAAAAAGAAATTCAAAGAAGGTACATATCTAAGTTCAAAAGGAAAAGAGCTTACTGCCAATGGCTCAGAAGAAAGAGCTAACGTGTCTCTTACTTGTTGCTGATATTCACACGTAGCTATTCACTGTAGCGGCATATTCACCTGTAGCTGCATATTGGAGCCACCTGGGAAGTGTTAAAAGGAATCCTGTGCAAAGCCCCATCCGTAAACAATGAAGCTGAGGTCTCCGGGGGTGAAGCCATGGCACAGGGATTTTTTAAAAGCTCCCCAGATGATTTTAATGTGCTATCTAGTCTGAGAACCATCAATTAGCTTTATTTCAGGAGTTTCTCATTCAATAACATGGTGAACATCTACATGTAAAGAAACTTTTGGAGGCACTGAGAATATGTAGATGAGTAAAAATAGTAAGCATTCATGAGAAGCTTAAAATGTGGTAAGGCAGAAAACTGGTTGCAAGGAGTAAGGTAATATGCAAGCTGTAATAAATGTGAACACCAGATGTAAAGACCTATCAAAGAAAAATATATGCAACAGATTGAAAATGATGACATGAGTGTCTAATAATGTTCCATCACTGACACCTAAAATTACAGTTCTAAATTCAAATAAAATGTAAAATCCAGTAAGTCCAAACACTTTAATAAAAACCTCCCTAAGTGAGGGTGCTCTAAAGTATAAATGCTGTAGTTTTATGTATGAAACTACTCTCTCTGGAACTAATTTATAGAACGTATGAGAATGTAAACTGCCCCAATCTATTTGACGTTCTCATAGTCCCCTCCTTGCACTCCTATTTTTTCCCTATAACTGAGTTATGAAAACATAAACATGGCTTTAGGATCTTGAGGATTTCAATACAGACTTCCTTTAATATTAGTAAGTAAACAAAGAGAAGCAGCAGTGGCAACAGGCAGTATAATGCTGCTACATCTAAAGCCCAGCTTTAATTTAGGCAGGATTCCATTTGATTCTTTTTTTTTTTTTTTTGAGACAGTGTCTTGCTCTGTCACCCAGGCTGGAGTGTAGTGGCGTGATCTTGGCTCACTGCAAGCTCCGCCACCCGGGTTCACGCCATTCTGCTGCCTCAGCCTCCCAAGTAGCTGAGACTACAGGCACCCGCTACCATGCCTGGCTAATTTTTTTGTATTTTTAGTAGAGATGGGGTTTCACCATGTTAGGCAGGATGGTCTTGATCTCCTGACCTCATAATCCGCCCGCCTTGGCCTCCCAAAGTGCTGGGATTACAGGCTTGAGCCACCGCCTCCAGCCTTGAATTTTTATAAATTATATAATTCTTTATTGACTCTAAAATGCCAAAGTGAGTATTTTCACCTTGATTTTCTTTTGCTCCTTTAATTTTGCACATTTGGAATGTCTTCCTCTCTTCTTTTCATTGAGAAAAATGTCAAAGCTAACCCCTTTTCTCTCTCCCTGTGTGTGTGTGCGTATGTTTGGCGGGGCATGGTTCTGTAAAATGTCCGGTTTCTTTTCATGCATTAACCTTGGCTAATGACAGTTTCATTCACACTTGGGATATAGACAACTTACTTTTTTGTCTCCAGACCATCAGCGGCTATGTTCTAAGAGCATAAGCTTACTTTAAAATAAAGTTCGATGTCCCAATGGAAAAGGGAATGATAGAACATCCACAAATTTTCAAACTTGAAGAATTACATTTATCGTGTTTCCCTGAGAGGACAAAGAGGTTTTGTTTTCTAACTCTATTATTCACTATGCATTTACATGTCATATTGGAATAAGTGACTTCAGCAATGACTTATCTGTCAATAAGTTAAAAGTCTCAAATCTTACACCTATATAACTTTCACTACTATGTTAAAAACCTATAAGAACACAGACGGTATCACTAATAATTTCCCCCAATTTATATATTATTAGAAAATTACATTATTTGAAAATTAAATGTTGATTACTACTGAGCAAAACTATTTTATGTCCTTATTTAAAATGAATTTAGGTCTAAGCTAAGAAAATTATAAACAGGTTTTTGTTATATGTAATATCCAGTAGGTCAATCTGAAGTCAAGTGGGATGTAGAACAGTGTTTTGTTAAATGCGTAACAGATACACAGCATCCCTGGCCCAAGGCAGCAACAAGAAAAAAAATTCTCCACTAATTTCCATAATTCCCCTGGGGGCGGTATTACTCCTGTTCTGAACCACTGGCCTAGAGTTTCAGGGCAGCTGGGACTCTAGTAATGGCCATCAGACAATCTGGAGCTGGCTTCATATCAACACATCTGGAAAGTAGTGAAACTGGAAAATCTTGGAATTTGGCAAAAACGCCTGAAGAGAATTATATTCTCAAGCCCCTGATACTTTCTGGGAAATCAAAAAATATCAAAATCCAGAACAATGTTTTAACCAGGACTAGCATTTCTGACCAAGTTTCTCTTTCCTCCTGTTCCTTTTCTAACTTCCAGACCAGTGGATATTTAAACATTGCGGGGCAACCTCTATTCATTCAGCTCCTGCTGCGTGCCAGGCATCCTGTGCACACTGTGAGCTCCTCCAAGAGGAAACTGGAACCCCAGCAGACAGATGGAGCCATGCTCGACCAGGCCCAAAGATTCCCTTACCCAAAAAACCACTTTTTCAAAAACACTTAATCTAATCCATGTCTGATGTGTGCCAGGCTCTGCTGATAGCAGAGAAAGCATGTTGACACTGGCCTGGCAGACTCTATTTTTAGAAGCCCCCACTATGATTTTCCATGATGGGTAGCGGCCAGCTGACGGATGCACGGCACCTCAGAGGCAAAGAACGGTGTGGCGGGCAGTCACTAGGTGGCAGTGCCACACCAGTTTATCCCCACAGCTGCTCTGCAGAGTTCAGCCAGATCAGTGCTAGAGGAGGGCTGTGAGGTGATGTTGTGGGAATACCCTGCAGGGAAAGCCCCCATTCTGGGTTAAGGGCTCTTCTAAGGGAAGAGTGCGCGCACGCGAGCGCGCGCGTGTGTGTGTGTGTGTGTGTGTGTGTGTGTATGTTTGGATGCTTACTCTATTCTAAATCCAATCTAAGGTAGCAGATCTGAGGAGGCAGCATCTGTACATTTCACCCCTCTGAGATTCTCAAGATCAAAGACCAGATCTTATCTCTTAAATCTGTAAGGAAAAAAAAAATCCCTGTGGATATTTTTAACTAGGCAATGTTGGAAATGAACCTGCATTTGAAGATATAAAAGTCAGGGTCTTGTTCACTTGCTCTGAGACAAGAGGCAAGGAGGAACTGAGCTGGGTTCAGAGGTGCTGCCCCACCTCTTGTTCTGCATGACCCACAGCAGTGCATCCTAATGTCTGAGCCTCGCTTTTCTCTAAGAGAACAGACTGTCTACCTCACCAGGTGGCTGTGAGCACGGAGATAACAAAACGCTACCCAAGTCCTCATCAGTGTACAGACTGTGTGCTCTATATTCAGCAAGTACTCTATTTACGTAAAAGTAGATACAAAGAAAAGTCATTACTTTTGGAAGTGGGCCTTCTTGCACAGAAGCAAGGTGACATACCTGAGGGCTGCTCAGAGTATGCGCAGCTTTGGTTTTGCTCCCTTCTACCCTACACTACGTTTTGCTGCCACTGCCAATGAGCACAGTAACTAGTATGACAAAGACTGAAAAGAGGGCTGGAGAAGGAGAGGAGGGAGAGGAAAAGGTTAGTCAGAGGTCCCTTGGAAAGGCAGGAGCAACATAGGGTGAGGGTACAGCAGGCCACAAAATGAAACCAGGAAGAAAGTGGGAAGTTCAGTGACAAGAAGTCCAAATGAAAAAAGAAAGCTCACGATCGTTCTGTGCCATTTCATTTTTGGGCCCCCTCAGCTGCCTCTCCTACCAACACTAGCACTTCAATCTCCAGGGTGGCAGGCCGAGGGAGGACGTACATCTCTATGTCTAGTATCAGTCACGTATTCCTGAGAATTTTTTGACAGGGCTTCTGTTTAGGGCTCTCAGTCAACTGAGAAAAAAATATGCGCCACTGATCCAAATCAACCAGCTTAAGGTGCCCCATCTACAGTACGCAGTTATCACAAATTGATTCTAAATTTTTAATTTTCAAAATACAGCAAATGAAAATTCCTACGTAGAACAAACAATGACAAGAAGTCTTAGCCTCCAGCACTTCACAGTTTCAAGCTATGTTTCTAGGGAAGCAGAACATTCCTGAATGTCATTGCATTATTCCTCGGGGAGAGATAAGAAGCAGAGTCAGAAAACTGAGCCACCAAACCCAGCGAGCTGAGAGAGTTCTCAGATGAAGATGATTCCAGACAGGCTGAGGAGAATGAGCACAGATTTTCTGGGAAGGTCATTTTCAAGGTTTACCAGTTAAATTTTCCCACTTCAATTCTAAAAATTAGTCTTAGAATGCCTCCTAATTGCACCTTGCTTGATTCAGCATGGGCAGCTAAAATATAGACTTCAATGCCAAAATGTCAGGAACTGAATTAAAACACAGGTCTAGGTTCATGCAGGAGGAGCACAGTGTAGTGAACGAAGCTGTCTCAAACTCAAACCATCACCGCTAAGACCCACCAGTCCCCTACTCCATAAAGGCTTCAGAACACCCTTGTAGAGATCTGGAACTGACACAATATGTTGTGTTAAAGCCGGAAAAATATTTTTATACAGGCAGAAAATAAGAAATGAAGGGAAGAAAAGAAGAGTTGGGTAACAAGAAAGGATGAGATAGGGGAGCTGAAAGTGAGAAAGTGAATAAAAGAGTGAAAATAACTGCAAGTAAAATTTTGTAAACATATAATGGTTGGAGAAAAATCACTACATAAATCACGAAAACCCCAAAACTTTCAATGCCAGCCAGCCTACTAATTACTTAAAAAGCCAGCCTTGTTTTCCAGCACTATCCACAAATAGATCATGTAGCTTTCACTAGTTCCTATAAAGTTTCCAACTAATCCAGAAAAAAAGGTGAAAAGAAAAAGGCAATTCAATATTTCATTATTCTTAAATATTAGTATTTTTGGAATTTAAAATGATAAAAATGCTTCCTGGTTGAAGGTTTTCACCTGTAGAAGCAAAAAGGAAAAAGCGCACCCTTCGTAAAGTGTGGTACATACTCAGCTCATCAAAATACACTTGTAAAATGACTAGCAATGACAAATACAGCAGACATTTTCCTGAACAGAATCACAATTCTGGCTCACTAAATTGGTCTAACAAACTTTTTTTTTCCCCATAGGTAATGCAGGAATCAATAGGATGGAATACTGCAAAGGGAAGCTTGGAGAGAGAATAGCCTCTGCACTTTGACTGTTTTGCAGTTAACCAAAGGCCATCGAGGATCAGAATTACAAAAATCAAACAGACCCATGAGCTTGAGCTCAGTTGTGCAAAATGTTTGTCAGTCATCTCTCTTCAAAACAAACACAGGACATCTTCTTAAATTCTACCTCTGTTAAACTATACTTCCCAAACAAGAACCTATCAAACCCAGAGACATTTCCTTCTATTAAAATAACAAAATTAGGCTGATGACAGTCAAACTCTTAGCCAAATACAATAGCTGGATCTAAAACCATTCAGTTCTCAGTGCAGTGAACTTAAATGGCCACTAGGCAGGTGAAAGTCAAAAGGATCAAAACCAGCTTTCTCCTCCATTCTACCAATCAGGCTAAGAATTACTATGTGCCCAGCTTGGTAGCCACAGGGGTGCTCTAGAGGATATAAATAAGTATTTGCATGTGTTCTACATAGGCTTTGAGGAAGCTTATAGGAAATATCTGACCTGGAAGCATATTAGAAAAGGAAATAGGAGCTGCACTACAGCACTGTTCAAAATAACTTTCTGCAAAAATAATGAAAATATTCAATATCTGTGCTGTGCAACACAGTGGCCACTAGCCACATGTGTCTACTGAGCACCTGAAGATGAATAGTGTCAAATGAGGAACTAGATTTTTAAGTTTATGTCATTTTAATAAATTAAAATTTTGATTGATTGATCGACTGAGACAGAGTCTTGCTCTGTCACCCAGTCTGGAGCGCAGTGGTGTGATCTCGGCTCACTGCAACTTCGACCTCCCTGATTCAAGCAATTATCCTGCTTCAGCCTTCCAAGTAGATTGCAGGCAATTAAAATTAAATTTAAAGGCCAGGTGTAGTGACTCATGCCTGTAATCTCAGAAATTTGGGAGGCTGAGGCAGCTGGATCACTTGAGGTCAGGAGTTCGAGACCAGCCTGGCCGACATGGTGAAACCCTGTCTCTACCAAAAAAATTACAAAAATTAGCCGGGCACAGAGGTGCATGCCTGTAATTCCAGCTGCTTGGGAGGCTGAGGCAGGAGAATAGCTTGAACCTGGGAGACGGAGGTGGCAGGGAGCTGAGATCACACCGCTGCACTCCAGCCTGGGCAACAAGGCGAGACTCTGTCTCAAAAAATAAAATATAAATTAAATAGCCGTATGATGTTATTGGCTGCCATGTTGGACAGCAAGGACCAGAGAGCCAAGTTGTGAGATCCACAGAACACATATATAAATGCTTTCATAACAGGGCTATTTCAATTTAGCCATTAAGATTCACTAAGAACTTCCTCTTTGCCAAAGTAAAATAGGACACAGAAGATATAATACCTTCCCCAATTTCCAAGACTTTATATATACATATTTGACACAGTATTCTATGCGCTTCTGTCATTTGGTTATTTTGTTGTGATGCTTCTTGGACAAGGAAAATAAGTCGAATACTTTAAAGAAATGAGTTTAGACTCATTTTTGTATATTAGTTTACTCAGACAGGTAGTACTCCCCTAGTTCATAGGAAGACTGTACCAAGTACTGGGGCCAGGGGAGGAGGCCAGTAACGTCTATCCAGAAATTCTGACATCCACAAGAAGTGAAGAATTATCCTAGGCTTCACAGGCTTGCAAAGCACCCTTGTTCTTCCTATTAAGCCTATGCTGGTCACTTCCCGTGATCCTGCCCATACTGTGGGAAACAGCTGGTGCCCAAGGTGGGATCCACAAAAAGGTTACTGCAGGGTAGATGCTTTTGGGATGCATTGCTTTCCAAATCAAACAACTAGAATAAAAGAGAGTGTCTCTCATTACCCAGTACTGAGGTTCTGCTCACCTGGCATGCTACTGAAGAAATAACAGAAGCAAGGCTTAATTTATACATTTACAAGATAATTTTATATATTGTTTAGTGATATGCATATTGATAGCAATACTAGCAAACTACAGGAAAAAAGTAATGGAATACATATAGAGATGATCTTTTTATTACTTTGTGTATTTTGATGCATGTCAAACATTTTTAAACAGATGCTTCCAATGGTGTGACTATTTGTGTAGCTACTTAGCTTACATAGAAATAGTTTTAAAACACAGTGTGAAGAATAATGCAGCCAACTAAAGCTTTCTTTTGCTCTGTGCAATTTAATTAAAGTGTTTGTTTCTTAACTTGTGTATTTTACTGATAAGTAATATTTTTATAAAGTGTCTCATGGATGCAAAGGTAGCTGAACACTTTATTAAAATGTTGACATCTACAATTGAAAAGGGATCTCATGATAACCCCTTTTTTCTTAGTAAACGGAGGTAAGGCATGTTGTAGGGCATTTTTGCTTTTATCATATTAAAGATTTATTTGATCCAATTTACATACACTTTATCATAAAAGGTGCTTATCCTGAAATCACTTGGGCACAGCTAAAGAAGGCCAGCTGCCCTTCCTAGAAATCCCCCAAATAGTCCCTGAAATACTTTTTCTCTTTGCACCCCACATTGCATGTATACATATACATGTAAAGACACACACATATACATGCAAGCACATATGTTATGTTACTACTGTATTCAGAATTGTGACCTCCCATCATATACAAATCATGAACCCATCTAAACTTTGTGTTCTAAATAAACAACCTGCTGGTTTAGAAAAATAATACAATGAAGACCCACACTGTGCAAATCACTGTACTTGATGCAATGTGGGGTGCAAGGAGAAAAATTTTTTCAGGGGGTATTTGAGTGAGGGGAGGTTCTAGGAAGAGCAGCAGGCTTTCTTCAGCTTTGTCCAATCCCCAGACTCATTTGGTGAGACAAGAAGGTGTTTTTGTGAAGCTTCAGGTCAGCATAGTACCCAGACACCCAAATGGTGCTCTCTCATCAGTGCCATTACACAGCACACAGCTGTCCTCCCTCCATATTCCTTTCGTCTGTTAAGATGGTATTTCCAAATACCAAGGTGCCTGAAATCAAATCACACAAGTTGAAGTCACCTTTACCTATGTCTCATCCCTCAAATCAAGGAACCCTGACGTTCTGGGGCATCCACTTTCAAACATTCTCAAATTGAGCATTCTTTTTGGCCTGGCCTCTGCTTGCCACTCCAATCTTAATTTTTGCTGTCCTGAACTTGCACCCTAAGCTCCAGCTGAAGTAGTTTCAATTCATGGGGCATATATTGCTCTTACCCCTCCAGGATTCTCATATGCTGTCTTTTTTTTCTTGTATCTTAATCCCCACTTTGGCCTGTATTTTGGTCCTTCACATTCCGAAGTCAGTGATTTCTTAATACTCTAACCCCTCCTCCTCCTGAGAAGGGGTTATGTATCCCTTGCTGTATGGTCCATGGCACCTGGAATTACCACTACTTGTGCTAAGGAGTGGTCTCTGTCTTGCTCAAAGCAATATGCCCTGTGCTGGTTAGAACCATGCCTGTTACATGGTACTCAAAAAGGAGAGTCTTGGTGAATGAATAAGTGGGAGAACTCCCATTTCCACTGCCTTATTCTAGTGATGAGAAGACAGAGGCTTAGTCCATTGTAACAGACATCTTACCAGTCTACCTCTTTCCTTGTCTCCAGCCTATCTCTCTATATCATCCTTCTCATTGTTCTGTGAGTTATCTTTCTAAAACAAGGTGATTCCCCACTGCTTAGAATGAAAAGTCCAATTGCTTTAGCATATACCCCAAGCCATTAATAATTGGGTCCCAACCCACCTTTCCTGACACTTCTTCTTATCACCAGCCACATGACAAATTAGGAGCAGAGAAGAGTGATAACCCAGATCTCTTTACTTCCAAACACACGTTCAGGCTGCTTCTTAGTAAATCTGAGGTTCACCCACTACAATATAGATTTCAATACTTGCCACCCGTGCATCTATTTCACGTGCCTTCACAGATTACTTCTACTATAAAAATTTTAAGAGCTTCTAAAATCAGTACCCTTCATTAAACTGCTTTCCTGAGAGCCCCTGAGGGCAGAAAAATAATTTTAGTAAAATCCACTTATTCATAGGAAATTAAATATTTTATGCAATGGATAATTTGAGATCCTTGTGTTCTTGTTCCCTTTTAACTCTTCAATCTGATTTAGACTGTGGAAGCAAGGCATTCCTTACATAATCCCAACGAAGCATTTAGCCTAATGATTCTAAAGTTCTTTCTACATGAGAACAATGAACATTATGTGACCAAATGCTGAAAATAACCTACAAGTCTTCCACTGAAGCAGAAAAATTTTAAATCAACTGTTAGTACTGTATTAATGACCCCCATGTTCTTAAGCCTCTTTTTTTTTTTTCTTTTTTCTTTGTTTCTTTTTTTTTGAGACGGAGTCTCTCTCTGTCGCCAGGCTGGAGTCAGTGGCATGATCTCGGCTCACTGCAACCTCCCCCTCCTGCGTTCAAGCAATTCTTCTGCCTCAGCCTCCTCAGTAGCTGGGATTACAGGCACGCGCCACCACGCCCAGTTAATTTTTGTATTTTTAGCAAAGACAGGGTTTCACCATGTTGGTCAGGCTGGTCTCAAACTCCTGACCTCGTGATCTGACCCCCTCAGCCTCCCACAGTGCTGGGATTACAGACTTGAGCCACTGCACCCGGCCTTAAGCATTTAAATAGTCACTCCTTTGTGAAAAAAACACCTTTAAAAATCTCTTGTGCTGGCATGAGGTCCCTCTAAATGACGTTCCAATTTACCCTTCTGACCATGCTCATGCACTATGTTCTTAAACAGAACTACTGTGTGTCCTCTTTTCCCCCTGCCCACATCTCTCCGAGTTCACAAGTGTTTCATATTCTGAAGGTCCTGTTCCGATGAGACTTAATTTTATACACCACAGTATTTTCCATCCCTCTCTTACATATCCTTTAGTCCCTGCACTGCTGTTACTGGTGCACATCTCTCATCTTTCCTCCTAGACTGTAAACCCGAGGGGCAGGTTTATGGTCTGAGTCTTCCGTCGTTTGCCATTCATAAGCCCCAATAGCATCTGGCGAGGCATACTTCAAAAAGGAGGTATTCATAGAGATGTATTGCATGAGGGCAGGAAAGAGACAACTGTATCCCAGGACAGAAGCATGGGAGCAGCTTGTCATATCACTGAGGAAACTGAGGTTCAGCCTGGTGAAGGGACTTGCCAAAGTTCACCCCACATAGGTAAATTCCTGATGATTTCAGCCCCTATAACCAGGTAACTTTCTGCATCAACTCCATTTTTAAATGCATTGTTTTTCCTTAAAATCACTACATAAATGTCCCTGTCCTCCAAACTTCAATGAACAGAAGTTACTCTTTTCTTATATTTACAAATATTGACTCTCTCTCTCTATATATACAGTAAATATATGAAAATTATATATATATATGTATATATATAATTCGTTCTGCTGTAATGGTGATGCACTGAGAGGGATGTCTCTTCCCCACGTGAAATCTCTCTAGATTGTGGTTTCTAATAATGTCACTTTTGTACTGTTTTGTTTATCCTGTTCCTAACCAGGAACCAACCAGGTTGTCACTAACTTCTGTTATCCTCACTCCAGTGGCTTTTTTCTCTTTTTAATTTGTGTTTGAGAAATGGGATTCTGAGCTATACTAAAATAGTATGCAATGAAAGGCAGAAAGCTATCCCTGAGTCCACCAATTATTTTTTCTATGAATACAGCAGTTAAGTTTTAAAACATGCATTTTTGGCTACTCACTGGCAGTCTTGTTTCTTTCTCAGTGTGAATTCTGGAGGGACAGGCTGTGGGATAATAGATCTTTAGGAGCAAAGTGAGGTGACCCAAAGTCAAGTGCCTCGTTTACTAAGCTCTTGTTTTAGAGACATATATTAGTGATCTAGTCTAGTGGGATACCTGTGTGTACTGCCATGGCAGCATATCTGTAATAGCCTGCTGAGTTAAAAACAAACAGAAACCAAATTACATGATCACACAAACATGTCCCTGTTTTGAAAAAAAAATTATACATTTATATACAGTTTGAAAGGATGCCACCCTCATATTATCATGACATTTTTCCTAGGAATATAGTGTTTATTGCTAGGGAGGAGGGAAGACTAACAGTATGTTTTTAGTTTAGTTACTTCTGGAGTTTTGATTTCTAATTTTTCTGCATTGTTCTCTGAGAACATGAATTACACATTGATGCTAATTCTATGAAATCTACTGAGATGTATTTTATGGCATCACATATGGTCAATTACTGAAACAGTCTATGCGTGCTGGAAGGGAATGTATCTTTACTAGTTATTGGCTACAGGGTTTAATATATGTATGCTAGATTAAGCTTGTTAACTGTGTTATTCAAATCATCTATAATCTTTTTCATCTGCATGACTCATTAAATACTGAGTTGTATTAACCTTGCACTATAATAGTAAATGTATTAATTTCTCTAGTTTGCTCACTGTTTTATTTTATATATTTTGAGGCTATATAATTAAATATATACAAACAAGTTTAGAATTATTACAACTTTGCAGTGAATTGCAGTTTACATTATGTAGTGATCTTTTTTTATTCCTACTAGTTTTTGCTTTTAACACTATCTTTATCAGATATTAACATAGTGACACTAAACTCATTTTGGTAAGTAGTTGCCTGTTGTATCTTTTCCAATCTTTTATTTTCAACCCACTGACATACTTGTTTTAGCTATAACTCTTGTAAGCTTTATATAGTTAGAATAAAAAAAAGAATATCATTTATTGTGATCACTAACATCTGTGGGTTTTAGCTATCACATTGTGTTCAAATTTCTATTAATAATTCCCTGTTTGTTATATGCTCCCTTCATACTACACATTTTTCTATTCTATTTGCTTAGATGTTATACATTCTATTTTTATTACTTTACAGGTTATACTTATAACTTTTAACAAGACATACTTGATTGTAGACTTAGAATTCAAAGCCCCCCCCACCCCCACCCCACTTCCCCTGAGTAGTGCAGGTACATGACCCTTAGAAGGCTTTAAATCTAATCACACCTGTACCATGTCACCCAACTCCTCAGTTCAACCTTCTTTACCCTCCCAAGTACTCATTTTTGGTGTTGTTTTGTTATTTGTAGACCCTGTTTGTTTACATTTATCCAGAGGGCTATTTTTTCTTTCCTCCCTATTCCTTCTCACATTTAAGATGTCAAAAATCCTTTCTGGGATCTCATCCCTCTTTTTGAGGGAAATCCTTTAGAAGTTATTTTAGTGAGGACCTGGTGGTACATACTCTCACTTTTTAATTACCTAATGCCTTTATTTTGCCTTTGTTTTTAAATTAAATTTAGGAAGGCATAGAAGTCTAGGTTAGGAGTTAACTTCTTTCAGCAGTTTAGAAATAGGCAGTATATTCCAGCTCTAGTTTTTTATGTTAGGATGTTCTAGGATCAGCAATCATTGTGGCAAGTTTTTTCTTTTCTTTTTCTGACTCCTTTTACGTTCATGTGTCTACATGTAGGTTTCTTTTTTCTTTACTTGGCTTTGGATCTGTTACACTTCCAGAAACAGAGAATTCATGGTGGTTGCAGCTTGCAGCCTTGGGTGGTTGGGTGGAGGGAGGCTTATGTCTTATGTCAGAAAAAAAACCCAGCTGAACCTGAGTCAAGGTATGTCCCTTCATAGAGATTAGTGTTTGCTTCCACCATGCAATTCAAGGTGTTACCCACCAGGGATTTAAATGCTGATTTCTGAACTTGTCATAGTATAATTTCAAAAGCATATGTGAGTAGGCCTTTGGTTACATATTCTTTAGGGTAGACCACTTTCTACCCCTATAACCTCACCAAGCACACACCCCACCCAGCCTGGGAATCAAGGGTGTTTTTTTGTTTGTTGGTTTGCTTTCTTTCTGTGGTGGGAGATTTTATATTTAGTCTATTCTTTTATTATAGGTATATCCCTTTAGAGCAATGGTTTTGAAATATGCTGTCAAGTTCTATTAGTACATAGTGAAATCAATTTGGTGCTATGGTTCTTAACCTTGGCGGTGCATTAGAATCACCCAGGGAGCTTTTAAAACCCTGATTCCTGGGCCACAACCCAAGACCAGTGAAATCAGAATCACTGAGGGTGGGACCCTGGCATATATATTTTTATGGCTCCTAGGTGTCAAGACTGAGAACCACCATTATGACCAGCATTTTGTAATAAAACAGAATGGAGTACAATCGTAAAAAAGAGTAGTTAACACTGATCCTTAGTAAGAACTGTGCACATTGCTACAAAATCTGCTATTCAGTGGGGTGTGAGATTATATACCATGTTCTAATATAAATTATATTCTTACTGCAGTTTTCTCTTTAAAAAAAGAACCTAAAAAAGTTAAGGCTCTTAATTACCAAGATTAGAAGTGGTCCTCAGAGTAGCTGAAGCGTGAGAGCCAGCTTATTACTTGCATTTCTGCTGATATGTTTTCATACATATATGTAGGCATGTGGAGATTTCCCTTCCCATTTAGCTATGGGCGTCCATTTGTCCAGCTCCTCTAGATGTTACGCAAAAGGTTATGAGAATATCAAGTCTATCATTTTACTGAATATGAAATTTCAGATTTTTTTATGTACTGTACATTTTTCCTTTGAATTTTATTTGAATGCATGCACTATAATGTCTAAGTTAAATTTACAGTTAAAATATGTTGTAATTACACTCTATTAACATATTTTATAATGACACCACAGAAAGTTATTAAATGTGCTTTCCAACGCACTCATTGCTGTACCAAGGCTGTCACATTTATCTGTAGAAAGAGATTCTCTAACATAGGGTTTTGCAGCTTTAGTTGTCCAGTTCGTAAGAGCAACGGGAGTTTTCAGACAGGCAAATAGGGGAAAATAGAACTTAAAGAGGCACCAGGGCAGAATTTATTTTTGACCAAGTGCTAAGGTAAGATGGCTGGTAGGCATAGTGACAACATGCTCGGGGAATGTCTGAAGCATGGTGACATCACCATTTTCCCCAACAAATGGGGACAGGAGGAAGCATCATAGAGACTGTTTGTTGTTGTTGTTGTTGCTGTTGTTGGCATGGCTAAACTACCCCTGGGAACATTATGGCACCTTCCCAAAGATCTTCTAGATAAATTATTTTAAGTGAGGCGTGAAATTAGAGATTCTAGCTGCTAAGCCCCTTTTCTATCCTGTCCCCAAAAGATCAAAAGTTGCAACAGAAATATATTTTTTCTAATACCACTATGTCCCATCTCTGGAATTCCACACTTTCCCCTATCATAATCCTCCCAAATGCCAATGACCCAGCCAAAATTCCATCTAGTCACATGGAGTGATGGGAATTAGTGTCCATAGAGCAGTTCATCCAAACCGAGCTGATGCTAAGCATCTCATTATGTAAAACTTTCAACCTCCCTTTATGTTACTATCTGGCACTCCTACATTTCAAACTGTAAATATAGTAAGTGTGTTCTACTGGAATCACTACGCTCAGAAATGTCACACCCAGACCACAACACTCAAATGTGGCAGATTGCTGGCAATCTGTTTTCTTTCTCCAAGGAAGGAAAAGCTGTACAGTTGCTTTAGAAAGACTGAGAAGGAGATAAAGGTGAAAGGAATTATATTAACAGATTGGTGTAGATAAAGTGGGGCTTTGTGTTTTAACTGGTCACAACATTTAAACATGTTATTATGCTCCTAGAACTGGATGATAATTTTCTGGGATAGGCAAAAACCAAGAGAAAAAGAAATATTTAAGAAAATGAACTAAGAAAGAAAGTTTAGAAAAGCCAAAAACAAATTTACTGACGATCCAGAAAAAATCTTACTCAAATATCACCCAGGCAAATAGACACGTGACTGCTTCTCAATGTCCTCTTCCCCAGACTCATGATTTTCTACCTTCCCAGAATGAAGATCCTTTTACACCAGAGAGTCCTACAAAAATGTTGGTTCTTTAATTTCAAACTATAGTATGTTATGTGATCACATGTAGTTGGAAAACTCAAGTTAATCAGAAGGATTTGAACTATGTAACACTTTCAATAGTCCCCAAACCTGTCAATATAACACTTTTTTATTTTCTACTTTTAGCTCTTGCCATCTTTAATCTGAAAGGTTAACTGTTTTGAAGGAATAAACAGATTCTGCAGAGCACTGTTTATTTAACTATTGAGTCTTCACTACAAAAAGAAGCTAGACTAAATTAGCTTTTTCCCCTACTAGATTACAAAGCCAGTACAGTAATATCACCTCAATTAAAATTTCTAAAATGTCAATAAATAACACTTGCATTCATTCACGTCCTCTCTTCCTCCCCTTCTCTCTGTTCCCACTGTCTCTTTCTCTTCCTGTTTTTCTCCAGCAGGCACTGTTTTCAATTCCTCGACTGCTGTTCCATTGTTCTGGGAAGAAGTCCATTTAATTCTGTGTACCAAATTTACTATGTTTTAAATGATTTCTTGGACAGATTCTATATATATATCCAATTCTACTGTTTTGGTGCCAATTTCTCTTCTTGATACCTTTCCTTGAATGAAAGACTTGTACTTAAAGCTCAGTTTTTCTTGCAACACATGCATGCATGCACGCATACACACACACAAACACACACACACAAACACACACACATTTTATAGATAAGAAAAAAACAACCCACAAATAAAACCTAAATCTGTGCTGTCCAATATGGTAGCCTCTAGCTCAAAGTGCTACTTACATTTAAGTAAAATTAAATAAAATAAAAAATACAATTCCTCAATAATGCCAGCCACATTTCAGAGGCTCAATAACCTCATTTGGCTAGTGGATATCACATTGGATAGTGTCAAAGAGCACTGCCATCACTGCAGAAAGTTCTATTGGATAGCACTGTTTCAAAGCTTCTATAGATTTTAGAAAAAATGGTAGGAAGCTGAACTGCATGATTCATTCATCGATTTTTTCCCTTTCATACTTGTATGCCTTTATTTAGCCAAATGAAAAATGTACAGATACGTTTCATTAAATGTCAATGTTATACACATAGTCCAAAAGATGAAGAAACAAAGTATCGTGAGGAAAAAACCAAACAACCGTCCAAGTATGTATGCCTAGGTGGAATTTCATAATAAATAGCAAGGCCAAAGTCAGGACTCTGAATGCTGACTTTATTTAGTTGATTTTCTAAGGCCTTATTCATCTGATCAAATGACATACAAGTAAATCAAGATTGTTTAATCTGAGGCATTTGTTGCTCTAATTTTACGATCATTTAATGATTCCATAAGGGGAACAAAAAGAATCAGTTGAACTGATTATACACTAAAATCCAAAAAACTGTGTTACAGACTATCTCATAGTTGATAGGAAACCATTCCTAAATCTGTTACACTGATTAAACACCTAAAACTTAAAAAATACTTCAAAACCCAATGTAAAATACTGTAACCACTTTGGTACTTGTAACACCAAGCTGACAAAGTGTATTCTTAAGGACAATTTCTCATTTCTGGTAGACATGCAGGGTGATGATGACCTACAGGGTGTCATTTCATATTTCAAGTATAATGAGGTGACCCTGACTGACCCATTACAGTCAGAGGTGTGAAATGCAGCTTTGCAGAGCAAATGCAAAAAGATTACGACAAACAAGTTACAATGCAAATCAGTTCAAGGTGGTCAGAGATAAAAACCCCTACTTCAGAGAAAACAGAAACTAGCCAAATTTAAGGCACCCTTACAAAGAAGCATAATGACCAAAAGTAAAAGTCCAAATGCTCATTAACTTATCTACTTAAGGAATTGTGCCTTCTTGAAGATAACCCAAAATATAGTTTCACTTTAGAAGCAGTGACTAAAGTTTGTTTTCATATTCATGTAAAAACATAAAATTAAAAGACTTTAATTTAAAATGATTATCACTTAACATTTCACATTTACTCATGATGTAGAATGCTTAAATGAAAAGAATGTAAAATGTATAACTTAATATATAAAATTATAATCACCCAAATAACATTATAATGATCTAAATACTATCTAAATCATCTTTTTTTTTTAGAGTAAAAATAAAGCAAATTCTGTGATGCCTATATTTGGCTCTTTGATCAAACTAAAGGATTTTCTCCTGCTTTCAAAAGGAGTTTTGTTTAGAGTGAGACACAATCCACCTGATAGAATACTATGAAGTCTAGAAACATTATTTTTCATTACTACCAGTTTCTGGCCCAAAGGAGTTTGAGACTCATCGTTCCTATCCTCACAACAAGAAAATAAAAAAAGGTGACAAACTAAAAACCAACAAATTTTCTTAGATCTAGCAGAGAATTAAGGTCACAAGACAAACCACCACCCTCAAAACTAGGGACACAGGTAGATAAGGAAAACCCACAGCTTACTTGGAACAAAAACCACCCAAAAACCACCTCTGAAGCCAGCCTCAGGTAATGATACTTAAAAGGTAATTGACTAATTGCTAGAGACTGTGCACTCACTAGCTTGAGAGAGAAAACAAACTCAGGAAGGCCTGGTCCTGGGGTGAGGGGTAAGGGGTGAGGGGTGAGGGGTGGGGAGTGACGGGTAGAGAGTGGCATCACATTTTTCTAAGTTTAATTTCCAGGAGCTCCAATAGGATCTTAGGATAAAGATCACAGAAAAATCCCCTCCTGCTTCCAGCAGAGAAAATGGAAAAGTAACCATTTTATAAGCCCAGAACATTTTGTTCTTAACAATAGCTTGCCCTCATAGGAAATTATTTTACCAGACTGTAACCACCTTGGGTTTCACCAGAGCCTAAAACACTTGGGAAAAGGGAAATACCCAATTACAGGCACCCCATTCCCCATCTCCCCCCGGAGTGATCTGGCATTTGAGGGAAGGAAAACACCCCCACTTCAGCCCCTTCTAGCCTTACTGTTGCATCTAAATGGGAGAGGAAAAAAACCTGAGAAGCACTGATGAAAGTCACAGCCCAGGGACCTGTACTTATTAAACGACTGAGAACTAATCACCGGACTACAGAATGGCTCCTTTCTTCTCACAGCTAACCACTACTGATATCAATAGGGCTCTTGTATAATACCAGGGGATTACAACAGACCGGTTTATCCCAGCTCCTTTTACCCAGTATCTTATATCTGGCTTTCAACACAAAATTACAAGGCATTCCAAATAAAAAAGTGTGAAGACAGAGCAAGCATCAACCTGACTCAGATATGGTAGGAATGTTGGGGTTATCAGACTGGGATTTAAAATAACTATGATTAGTATGTTAAGGGATCTAAAGGAAAAAGAGGCAGCACGCAAGAATAAATGGGTAAGGTAAGCAGAGAGATAGAAATTGTAAGAAAAAACCAAAAAGAAATGCTAGAGATCAAAACACTATCAAAAATAAAGAATGTCTTGATGGGCTTATGAGTAGTAGACTGTTTATAGCGAAGGAAAAAAAAATCTCTGAGCTTGAAGATATTTCAATAGAAACCTCCCAAACAGAAAAAAAATAGTAGTATAACTGATATGCTAAAAAGGATAAAAAGTGAAATCATATATTATGCTCAATTAATACTGCAGAAATCAGAAGAAGGGCAGAAGACAAAAAAATTAACAAAAAACAGAACAAGGGCAATGAACAGAAAATAAAGAAAAATATGATAAATAATAATACAACTATACTAATAATCACTTTAAACATCAATGGTCTGAATACATTAGTAAAAAGAGGCTGTCAGAGTGAATAAAAGCAAGACCCAACTGCGTCCGGAATTGGTGGGTTCTTGGTCTCACTGACTTCAAGAACGAAGCCCCGGACCCTGGCGGTGAGTGTTACAGCTCTTAAGGTGGCGCCGTCTGGAGTTTGTTCCTTCTGATGTTCGGATGTGTTCGGAGTTTCTTCCTTCTGGTGGGTTCCTGGTCTCGCTGGCTCAGGAGTGAAGCTGCAGACCTTCGCCGTGAGTGTTACAGCTCTTAAGGCGGTGCATCTGGAGTTGTTCATTCCTCCCTGTGGGCTCGTGGGCTCGCTGGCTTCAGGAGTGAAGCTGCAGACCTTTCGCGGTGAGTGTTACAGCTCATAAAGGCAGTGTGGACCCAAAGAGTGAGCAGTAGCAAGATTTATTGCAAAAGAGCGAAAGAACAAAGCTTCCACAGTGTTGAAGAGGACCCGAGCGGGTTGCCACTGCTGGCTCCAGTAGCCTGCTTTTATTCTCTTATCTGGCCCCACCCACATCCTGCTGATTGGTAGAGCCGAGTGGTCTGTTTTGACAGGGCACTGATTGGTGTGTTTACAATCCCTGAGCTAGACACAAAGGTTCTCCACGTCCCCACCAGATTAGACAGATACAGAGTGTCCACACAAAGGTTCTCCAAGGCCCCACCAGAGTAGCTAGATACAGTGTCGATTGGTGCATTCACAAACCCTGAGCTAGACACAGGGTGCTGATTGGTGTATTTACAAACCTTGAGCTAGATACAGAATGCCAATTGGTGTATTTACAATCCCTGGGCTAGACATAAAGGTTCTCCAAGGCCCCACCAGACTCAGGAGCCCAGCTGGCTTCACCCAGTGGATCCTGCACAGGGGCTGCAGGTGGAGCTGCCTGCCAGTCCCGTGCTGTGCGCCCGCACTACTCAGCCCTTGGGTGGTCGATGGGACTGGGCACCGTGGAGCAGGGGGTGGCGCTCATCAGGGAGGCTCCGGCCGCACAGGAGCCCATGGAGGGGGTGGGAGGTTCAGGCATGGCGGGCTGCAGGTCCCCAGCCATGCCCCGCGGGAAGGCAGCTAAGGCCCAGTGAGAAATCAAGCGCAGCGCTGGTGAGCTGGCACTGCTGGGGGACCCAGTACAACCACCGCAGCCGCTGGCCCAGGTGCTAAGCCCCTCATTGCCCGGGCCGGCAGGGCTGGCCGGCTGCTCGGCGTGCGCGGCCTGCCAAGCCCACGCCCACCCGGAACTCCAGCTGGCCCACAAGTGCCGCGCACAGCCCCGGTTCCCGCTCGCGCCTCTCCCTCTACACCTCCCTGCAAGCTGAGGGAGCCGGCTCTGGCCTTGGCCAGCCCAGAAAGGGGCTCCCACAGTGCAGCGGTGGGCTGAAGGGCTCCTCAAGTGCCACCAAAGTGGGAGCCCAGGCAGAGGAGGCGCCGAGAGCGAGCGAGGGCTGTGAGGACTGCCAGCACGCTGTCACCTCTCAACCATGTGTTGTCCACAAGAAACCCACTTTAATAATAAAGACACATATGAATTAAAAGTAAGGCAACAGAGAATGATATACCATGGTAATACTAATCAAAAGAAAGTTGGAGTAGCTATATTAATTTCAGACAAAGCAAACTTCAAAGCAAAAGAGCCGATTAGAGATAAAGAGGGGCATTACATAATGTTAAAAGGTCAATCTTCCAAGGAGACATAACAATCCTTATTGGGTGTGGGCCTAACAACAGAGCATCAAAATATATAAAGCAAAAGCTGATAGAACTGCAAGGAGAAAAGAACAAATCCACTATCATAGTTGGAGATTTCAACATCTCTCTGTTAGTAATTCATAGATCCAACAGGCAGAAAATCAGTAACAACGTAGTTGAATTGAGGACCACCATCAATCAACTGGATCTAGCTGACATTTATAGAATACTTTACACAACAACAGCAGAATACACTTTCTTAAGCACACATATTCACTAAAATAGACATATTCTGGGCCCTGAAAGATAACTTAAAATTTTTTAAGGAATAGAAATCATACAATATGTGCTCTCAGACCAAAATGGAATTAAACTAGAAATCAAAAACACAAAGATAACTGGAAAATCTCAAATACCTGGACACTAAACAATAAACTCTGAAATAGTACATGGGTCCCAGAACAATTCTCAAGAGAAATTTAAAAATATTTTAAAGTAAATGAAATTGAAAATACAATGTATCAAAATTTGTGAGATACACCAAAAGCAGTACTTGGAAGGAAATTTATAGCACTGAACACATATATTAGAAAAGAAGGAAGTTTTAAAATCAGTCATTCAAGCTTCCACCTTAGAAAATGAGAAAAAGAGAAGTTTAACCCCAAGATAAGCAAAAGGAAAAGAATTAAAAAATTAGAGCAGATATCAATGAAGTGGAAAACAGTAAGTCAATGGAGAAAATCAGAAAAATCAAAAGCTAGTTCTTTGAAAAGATTAATAAAATTGATAAATTTCATGACAAGCAAATGAAGGAAAAAAGACAAAAATTACAAACATCAGAAATGAAAGAGGGGGCATCACTGCTGATTCCATAAGGTTTAAAGGATAGCAAAGTAATATTATGAACAACATTCTGCCCACACATTTGACAACCTAGATAAAATGGAAAAATTCCTTGAACAACACAATCTGCCAAAAATCACACAAGAAAAAAAAAGTAACTAAAGAGGCCCATATCTATTAAAGAAATCCAGAAAACTACTAATAACCTTCCAAAACAGAAAGCCCCAGGACCACATGGGTTCACTGGTGAATTCTCCCAAACATTTAAAGAAGAAATTATACTAATTCTCTACAACGTCTTCTAGAGACAGAAGCCGGGATGGGGGGGTAAGTTTCTAACTCATTGTATAAAGCCAGGATTACCCTAATACCAAAACCAAAGAGATTATAAGGACGTAAGACTATCAACCAATATCTCTCATGAATGTAGATGCAAAAATCCTCAAAAAATGTTAGCAAGTTTACTTAAAGTACAAAACACTTTTATATCACAATTAAACGGAATTTATTCTGAGCATACAAGGCTAGTTCAACATTTGAAAATCAATGTAATCCATCAACCACATAACAGGTTAAAAAAGAAAAATTACATAATCATATCAATAGATGCAGAAAAGGCACTTGACAAAAATCTAACACCCATTCATGGTAAAATCTACCAGGAAACTAAGAATAGAGGGGAATTTCCTCAACTTGGTAAAAAACATCCACAAAAACCTACAGCTATAATTACAGTTAATATCACACTTAAGAAACTAGGTGCTTTCCTGGTAAGATCAGGAACAAGGCAAGGATGTCTGTTCTCATCATTCCTATTCAACTTTGTACTGAAAGTTCTAGCTAATAAAGACAAGAAAAAATAGTACACAGATTGAGAAGGGAGAAATAAAACCATCTTTTTCACAGATAAACAATTTTCTCTGTAAATCCCAAGGAAGGGACAAGAACACTGGAACTAATAAGTAAGTATTGCAAGGTTGCAGGATACAAAGATAATATCCAAGTCTATTACTTTTCTATGTATCAGCAATGAAATAGAATTTAAAATAAAAAACACAACACCATTTACATTAGCAGCAAATAAATGAATAATAGTTGTACATCTAACAAAGTATGTACAAGTTCTATGATGAACACTACAAAACACTGAGGAAAGAAATCCAAGAAGAGCTAAATAAATACTCTATGTTCATAGACAGAAAAGCTAACAATTGTTGAGATTTCAGTTCTTCTAACTTGATCTAAAGATTCAGTGCAATCCCAACCAAAATTACAGCAAGTTATTTTGTGGATATCAACAAATTGATTCTAAAGTTTCTATGGAGAAACAAAGGAGCCAGAATAACCAACATAATTTTGAAGGAGAAGAATAAGTTTAGAGGAATAACACTATTTGACTTCGAGACTTAGTATAATGTGCCATTAATCAAGACAGTGTGTTAATAGTGAAAAAATATACAAATAGACCAATGTAACAGAATAGGCGAGGTAGAAAATACACTCATACAAGTATAATCAACTGATCATTGATACAGGCAAATCAACAGAGGGAAAGGACAATCTTTTCCACAAATGATGCTAGAACAACAGGGCATCCACATGTTAAAAAAAAAAAAAAAAAAAAAAAGCATCTATATACAGACCTTACACCTTTCTACCCACAAAAAAACCCCCAAAACCTTCAAAATGGATCATAGACTCAAATGTAAAATGCAAAACTATAAAAATCCTGGAAAATATATTAGGAGAAAATCTAGGTAAACTTGGGTTTGCCAAGAACTTTTTAGATACAACTCCAAAGGCACAATCCACGGAAGAAAACATTGATTGTGCTGGCCTTCATTAAACTTAAAAGCTTCTCTGCTGAGGACACAAAGTACAAGCCACAGACTGGGAGTATCCAAGAGATACAAAGAACACTTAAAACTCTACAATAAGAAAATGAACAACCCGATTTAGAAAATGGGCAAAAGATCTGAACGGCACCACATTAAAGAAGATATACAGATGGCAAATGAGCAAATGAAAAGATGCGCCACATCATCTGTCATTAGGGAAACAGAAATCCAAACAACAATGAAATACCACTACATACATACTAGAAAAGCCAAAATTGATCCTTTCTATTCTTTTTAGATTTTGGCCATTCTAATAGATACATAGTGGTATCTCATTGTATTTTGATTTGTATTTACCAGTATTTGTTGTTGCAAAAACAAATGCTGACAAGGATGTGGAGAAAAGGAACTCTCATTCATTGCTGGTGGAATTACAAAATGGTATGTCACTTTGGAAGACAGTTTTTCAGTTCCTTACAAAACTAAACATATTCTTTCCATATGATCCATCAATCATGCTCCCAGGTATTAATCCAAATGACTTGAAAACTTATGTCCACTCAAAAACCTACACATGAAATGTCTATAACAGTTATATTTATAATTGCCCAAACTTGGAAGCCACCAAGATGCCCTCTAATGAGTACATGAATAAACTGTAGTACATTCAGACAATGGATTATTTAGCATTAAAAAGAAATGAGCTATCAAGCCACAAAAAGATATGGAAGAATCTTAAATGCATATTGCTAAGTGAAAGAAGCCAATCTGAAAGGGGTACATACTCTATGAATTCAACTATATGACATGTTAAAACAGATAAAAATATGAAGACAATGAAAAGATCAGTGATTGCCAGGGGATTATGGGGGCAGAATAGAGAAGAAAGGGATTAATAGGTAGACTGATGAGACTTTTTAGGGCAGTGGATATATTCACTGTATGAAAAGATTATTTCTTGAGAAATTAAAAACCAACAAACAGAAATACATTTTTACATAATTTTCACAAAGACATTAGTATTAAAATAGAATATATCAATGAAATTATTTTATTTGATCTTTACCTGTGTTTTCAAAATGCTTTTATAATAAATATGCATACTTTTATAGATAAAAAACTAAGGCTTAAAACATGTTTTTCTAAAGAGTTCAAAACTACTATTTTCTAGATATAAGGAATAGGATTATACTTTAGGAGATATCAACTATTCCATTAGCATAATAAGGTACTGCAAATATATCTGAATAACTAGAAATTCCCATTAAATGATGGAGCAGATTCATTTAATACTTTTCCCTTTAAGGGATTTTTATTCTTTCTATTTGTTATTAAAACACATACATTCATTATTCTAATGAGAAACTCTTCATAAAACAGAGAGTGAAATGAAAAATTATGGTCTAACAAAATTACTTTGTAAAATTGAGACATAATACAGATTAAAGAGCTATAAACTTTTCATTGAATAAATATGAAAGATATAAACAGAGGAAGAGAGAAGAATCCTTGACCCGCTCTTAAATGAAATGAAATGAGTACAGCTTACTCTTAACTTCAGACAGAACAGGCCCGAGGTATTACAGCTTTTCTCCTTTACCTTCTCATACATATAACGCCCTTTCCTAGGAGCAAATGCCCATTATGATGTGTTTTGATCTCACAAGAAATAGAAGCACAGTAAATATAAGTCTGAATTAGCACTTTTAGATTAATAGTACCAATTTATGTATAATGGAATGACTCTGTTATAATGCAGTGCTAAGAAGGCCCAAAGCCATCATTAAAATATTAAGCAGAATAAAACACTTAGCTTCCAAAGGTCTATGGGTCATTTAATTTATTCCCCACCTTATTAATAAGGCTATCCCTTAGCATTCCATACTTATTTTCAAAGATTTTCCAAGAAAGAGATTTCCTTTATCTGGGGAAGGCCCCATTTACTGACAGCTGCAAGGAAATGTTCCAGGAGAAATGAGCACATACATGAAGAATATTCTTGTATAGTGCTTTTATCACCAAATGGTGTAAACTGCTCCAGAGTACAAATTCTATAAACACTGGGACCAATATTAACATAATAGGACTCTAATAAACAAGAGTGGGATTGGTTTGATGGGAATTTAGAAGCCAGCCAAATACCCAAACAGCCACTTGGGCTGTCTGCGTCATCTATCACCCTTTAGCTCCACCTATGGGATTGTCCCCACAGGGGCCAGTCCCACTCCCCTCAGTTGGTCCAAGGTCCTAGTGAATGTTCCTCCCTTGTCTTCTTTCTCCCCTGCAGTCTGAATACTCCCATCAAACCCACATGTCAAAATTTTTTTATTATTGTTAATTGGAAAATATTTCAAAGAAATGGCAAGATTCTTAAAGTACCAGGTGAGTAGAAAATTGGGAACTTGGTGAGCTAGAAGTCAGGGAAGTCCCAGGACAAGTTTGCTCTTGAAAGAGGAGAAGGTGCAGGGGGAGAAGAGAACAAGTAAAGGAAACATGGTGAGTGCTGTGGCAGGATGGAGATGACTCCAGGTGCAGGTGGGTGGCTGGTGGTCATGTTCCCACTTGGTTCAATTTAGATGGCATCATTAAAAAGTTCCCCATTCCACAATAAGCAAACTTTTCTTGTAGTCTACAAAATGTGAAACTTTCCTTTCCGCTGTGAGTGTGTAATGCTTCATCCCATGGAACAATTCAGAAAGTTAATTTTATATGCTTCCGTTAGAGAATCTAACTAAAAGCTGAGGGAAATGATTGGGAAGATAAAACTACAATCGCAAAGGGAATCCTGTAAGACATAATATACTATGAGCAGTCCGGGTGATTCTTTCCCCTCCCCTATATGATACCATTCAATACAAACATCTAAAAAGAACTCTCATTTGGCTGTTATTCTTCATTCTCTAACAGCAGTAAAAATGACTACAGTTTAAAAACTTAGTTCCAATGACCACAAATGTTCTAAATATTCATATTCAGCATAAATTTTAAAAATGAGAGGCCTATAAAATCATCAATGAATTCTACCTTATGTTTAAAGAAGAATTATACTCACTCTTCACAAATACTTTAAAAAAATGGAAGGAACACTTCATTTAATTAATTCTCTGAGTCAATATTAACCTGAGATTAAATCAAAGACATCATCAGAAAAAAACTATAGACCAGTATCTTTTATGAATATGGATTTTAAAAAACTCAACAAAATACTAGCAAACCAAATTCAGCAACACATACAGGTAAAAAGAATTATACAAAATGACCAAGTAGGATTTATGACAGGAATGCAAGCTTGGATTAACATCTGAAAAACATATAAGCATCTTGATAGACACAAGAAAAGTATTTGACAAAATCTACCACCCTTTGGATTTGTTCAAAATATAATTGGGAAGTCACTGGAGGCTTGTGATTAGGAAGGTTATATGATCTTTTTCACATTTTTTTTTTGAGACAGGGTGGAGGGCAGTGGCATGATCTTGGCTTACTGCAATCTCAATGTCCTGGGCCAAGCAACCCTCCTGCCTCAGCTCCCCAAGTAGCTGGGACTACAGGTATGTGCCACCATGCCCAGCTAATTTTTTTTTTTTTTTGGTAGAGATGGGGTTTTGTAATGTTGCCCAGGCTGGTCTCAAACTCCTAAGCTCAAGTCATTCACCCACCTCGGCCTCACAAAGTGCTAGGATTGCAGGTGTGAGCCACTGCACCCAGCCTTTTTTCACGTTTTTTAAAAGGATCTTTGGCTGCTGGTGGGGACCTGACCATGGGAACAGGGATGGCCACAGGGAGCCAAGGTGGAAGGCAATTACAGGAGAAATGCTTGACAATCTATTTTCCCTTAATAATGAGAATGGTGGTGACTTGGACTACAATGGCAGCTGAGGAGGTACTAAGAAGTGGTTGAATTCAGGGCATAATTTTGAAGGGAGAGCCAACAGGATTTGCAGATAGACAAAAATTTAAAGTGAGCCTGTCAGCATGTTTGTGTGTTTTTCCTGCAGCTCTGATCTGAGGTTGGGTCCAGGCAGAGCAGGTGGAGCATTTGATTTAACCAAGGCTGGTTTTTCCAGGTAGGTATGATGAAGGGAGAGGGTGCAAGGTTATTGAGGATGTGTGCAAAGGAGGGATTGTCAATCACTATGGACCATGTAAACTAAGCTGGGAAGGTCAACAGATTGGCATTTGACACAGGGGTGTAAATATTTTGTAAAGTAGTAGGAGGTGTCCAGAAATTAGCACAGTCCAGAAATTTCTGACTGTTGGTGTAGGTCCTATGGAATTAGCAATGTGGGACCCTTCAGACATGCATGATATATTAGCTCCTAGCTGAATTTCCCTAGTAACTGCCATGTGAATTGGAAGTTGCAGTATTTTGGGATTTATGCAGAATCTGTAATATTTAAAAGCATGATAGTTAAGCCCCTTCTTCACACCATGGCCTTGGGTAGAACAAATTGTAGTATCTTTCATTTACTGAATTTAGAATTTTCATCATTTCTTCACCAGGCTTGCCTTTCATACATAACTTTATCTTTCATTTCACAGATGCCAAGGGCCATTTGATGTGAATTCCCTTAACTTCCCTTTCTGTGACTTGAGCCTTGACGTATTTGTCCTTTCTTCTTCCCCCATTATATAAACAACGTCTTTAGATGGAGGTATACTCAGGCTTGTCTTGACCACCTTCTTCCCTTCTACCTTTCAACATCTGGGCATCTACAAGATAAAATCCATCATTGCCCCTTCTTCAACTCTCTCCTCCTGTGTTCAGTGTATATTGTAAGTACCTACTACATTTGCTACTTCACATATGTTAGAAACCTTAGACTCCTCTTCAAACTTTCTCTCTGGCCTCTGTCTGGGTCACTTGGTCCTACTCTCTCAGTACTGAATATTAAAGGATGCACCCTTTAATGGAGACCCCTCCCCACTAGCCTAGGCTACATGATAGCCTCTCAGCTGGCTTTCCTGTTTCCAGTGCCTGGCCTCTCCGAACTGCCCTTTACAATGCTGCCAGGGTTTTCCTTCTAAAATATGAGCAGCATTTATATTACTCAGATACCTAAAACACTTTAGGCCTGCTCCAGTGTCTCTAGCTGAGTTTCTGAAGGCATAAGATGTAGGCAGTGGCACAGGCTAAATTTTTAGGAGGTATTTGAGATGAATTTCAGTAGCATAGAACCTCAAGATTTAAAAATATAGTATCTCTTAGTGATTTATTTTCGTTTTGATCCTCTTCTGATTCTTTCAGTATAGCTAAGAAAAGGTGTCAGTTTAGTGCTCATAGGTCAGGATCATGCTTCTGATGTGTGCTCATCTCCCTTTTTAACAAGCCTGCAGGTTCAGTTCAGAGCATTAGTGAAAGAACAGTGTCAAATTAAAATGTTATAAGTGTTTGGTTTTTTGAATTTATTCAGGGCAAGTAATACAGGATTATTATCCATAGTTATGGTAAGTCAAAGTATTTAAGAAAAATGTCAATGTAATAAAAGTTCTAATAAATAATAATGCCTTTGGCATAAACATCACCAAGAAAGAATTTGGGAACATACCTATGGACTAAAATCCAGACTCCGTATTTTCCCATGCATCAGTTCCAATTTAGCTTAATTTCCAACTGCAACCCTTCTTCATAAATTCTTCACTTGGACACAGATACTTCTCTGACCCTCGAAACTGCCCTGCACCTTCCCTTTCTCCATGCCTGTATTTATGCTGTTCCTTCTGTCTGGGATATCCTGCCTCACTTTTTGGCCTTTTGAAATTGGATTTATTCTGAAGCCTCAAATCAAGTTTTCTTTCTAGAAAGTCTTCCCCTGAGTTTTGAAATTATGACTTAATGACCTGTTTGCTTGTCCCTTGATTATAGTGACTGCTTCTCTCTCAAATGACAGTTTGTTTACACATGCATATACCTATTATATTGTAAGCTCCTACAGGGCAAACACTATGCCATTTTTTTATTCATGGTCCCCACAACCAAGAAGAAATGCCAATATATATATTTGTAAATAAGATAATGGGTAAGAAATTTTATATCTCTTTTCATTGCTGCCCCTGGACCTGTTTGCAGGGTTTTTTTTCCTCTCCTAATAAATGAATACCTTTAGAAATAGGTCTTAATATAAGTAAGGGCAAATCTAACTTACTGATTGCAATGCAACTTATGAAACACTTCCTAAGTCCCTGGAGAAGTTAGCTTTTGATTAGCCTCTTTATTTAGGCTCATATCGTACCATTCTGTTTTTCTTCTTGTGTCTTTTTTGGGGGCTGTGGGGGTGAGTAGGAACCCATATTCCCATTTAATTAAATCTGAGGACACCATGAGAAATGAACCTTAAAAATCAGCAAAATATCAAAAATTAGCCCGATTCTCTTATCCAACAACTATTTTCTGATCACTGGTTCTGTTCCAGGTTTAGTGCTTGGTGCCAGGCACAGAGAAAATAAGAGCTATCATCCCTGCCCTCAAGGAGTCAAGCTGTGAATCAGTGGTATAGTACTCCATGAAAATTTGGGAAAATATCCCTTGTTTTACTTCAGGTAATGCTTAACAGACAATGCATTAATTGAACACCAGCTTTGTGCCAGCTTATGTGCTGGGAGATGTGGATACTTCTATGTTTTAACTTTATTTGCCACATAACATGAATTGTAACTTTTACCTTCTAAGACTGTATCTGGCCAAAGAATAGCCCCAAGGCTGATAAAACTTATTATAAAAGTGCTAATCATTTGTCTGGCAATAGGACAACCAACTTTAACAGAATGTGCTTTCTGAGAAGTTCCAGTCAGATTAGTGTCAGTCATCTATGAGTCTCTGACGATGGTCTGCCCACATTTGCTCAAAAAAAACAGCCCACAGCTGTACACAAAGCAAATCCAGGAGACCACATGGTCAGACTTACTGAAGGGTATTTAAAAGACGACACTTAAATAATATATGATCCTCGTTTTTTTTATTTTGCTTTGTTTTGGAATGCCTAGCCATTTGTAATCCATAACAGACTTGTACATTCAGTCTTTTTTCTCTTTTTAGGGAAGAGTAATTGTCTTAGTCTGTTTGAGCTGCTATATCAGAATACCATAAGCTGACTGGCTTATATAAAACAGACATTTATTTCTCACAGTTCTCAAGGCTGAGAAGTCCAAGATCAATTCACAGGAAGATTCAGTGTCGGGTGAGGGCCCATTTCATGGTTCACAGACAATCACCTTCTCTCTGTGTCCTCACAGAGCAAGGGGCTAGGGAGCTCTCTGGGGTCTCTTTTTATAAGAACACTAATCCCATTCATGAGGGCTCCACCCTCATGACCCAATCATCTATGAAAGACCCCAGTTTTAAATATTATCACACTGGAAATTAGGTTTCAACATGAATTTTGGGGGAACATAAAAATTTAATCTATAGCAGTAAGACGTGTCTAAAATAGCCCCCTTGATTTGAGACATCTCCTGTAGCAGCACAAGTTCGCTTTCTGATTAACTCACATTCTCTCTTTGTGCCTAGCACTGATGTTGGAAAAAACTAATTAGCAGAATGGTTTTGGTAGAATACCAGTGACTACTGATATAAAAAGCTGGGAAACATAAGGGTGGTTCAAATACCTTGGCTTCTTACAAAAAAGACCAAAAAGATTAATTTGAATGTGAATCAAGGTGGCCAAATTACAGATACATTCTTTTTAATTTATGGCCACGTGTGGTGGCTCACGCCTGTAATCACACCTGTAAACACTTTGGGAGGCCGAGGCGGGTGGATAACCTGAGGTCAGGAGTTCGAGACCCACCTGGACAACATGGTGAAACCCTGTCTCTACTAAAAATACAAAAATTAGCTGGGCATGGTGGCGGGTGCCTGTAATCCCAGCTACTCAGGAGGCTGAGGCAACAGAATCACTTGAACCTGGGAAGCAGAGGTTGCAGTGAGCCGAGAACATGCCATTGCACTCCAGCCTGGGTAACAAGAGTGAAATTCCGTCTCAAAAAACAAAACAAAACAAAAACAGATGCTGGGGAGGTTGTAGAGAAAAGAGAATACTTATACACTTCTGGTAGGAATATAAATTAGGCAGGTAGATCACCTGAGGTCAGGAGTTCGAGACCAGCGTGGCCGACATGGTGAAACTGCATCTCTACTAAAAATACAAAAATTAGCCGGGCATGGTGGCAGGTGCCTGTAATCCCAGCTACTCGGGAGGCTGAGGCAGGAGAATCACTTGAACCCAAGAGGTGGTGGTTGCAGTGAGCTGGGATCGTGCCACTGCACTCCAGCTTGGGCCACAGAGCGAGACTCTGTCTCAAAAATGTTTAAAAAATAAAATTAATTAATTAATTAATTAAATTTGTCTTAACACCTAACCAACATGTTGGCTTTTTTTTTTGTAAAATTTCATGTATGTTGGTTCACTAAAAACCATATGTCAGGATTTATTCCTTCCTAGCAAAGACCATTCTATAAAAAGGAAACATATACTAAAATCAAGAATATCCAAGGCTATGCGCAAAATAGATCGAAAAGTAGCTAAGACAAATTAGGCTGTATTGGAAAGGTACAAAAATCTGCAGCATTCAAGAAATCAACTTGTTTTGCCAAAGAATCACCACCACAATTTTTAGTCATATCCCAAACTGTCTTAAATATGAAAAATATGGCCATCAAAAATAATGTGGAAGGGGAATATTATTTTTACCTAACTTGAAAATTGCCATAAAATGATAGTCCTTTGGCCCACAGCAGGCCCAGCCAAAATGAGCCAGACCTACAGCCTGTCTGAAGGATCAAATAGCATGAAGAAGTGGGGAGAGGAAAGCTACCATCTGAACATAATATGGAATTCTTATCATGCCATTAAAGTTCTAGATTGCCTATAAAACATGTTCTGTGAATGCTTTCTTAATTTAAAGTAAAAATGTTATCACAACCATGGCATTGTCTCTGATATCTGGTATCTTAGACAAATTATAGCGTCTTCTTTTATACTCTTCTAAGGAATGAACGTTGTTTATGGAAAAGGTAGTATTGCTTAAGAGAGATAGCAGGCAAACTTCATAAGAGGTCTTAGTAGAGACTCCTATAAGAAAATCAAACAGGAATTATTTTAATCTTTTGCTGGTCAATTTCTCCCATGTTAAGTAACATAGGCTATACTTGGTAGAAGCAGTCCTGCATTTGGAAGCAGAGACCAGGGGACAAAGACAATCACAGTATTTCATTACAGTACTCCACTAAACAGTAGCAATAAAGGTTATTTTATCCTTATAACTGCCCTAGGAATAACTAGCCTGGAGCTACTGCTTTTTGCATAGCTCAGTTTACATGCTTGCAGAGAGAGATATTGCAAAAAGACTTTACATTATTTCCCTAGTCAAAGGAAAGGCATTCTGCCAATGTCCAATGACTATGTTTTAGAGGCTACTGTTCCAAGTCCATCCCAAGACCTGCTCCTCCACAGCTTTCAGATTAGATTTCTTAATGACTCAGTGTTGTACTGATGTTACCCAAGGTCAATGAAGTTAAAATCTAGGAGACCAGATTCCTCAAGAGATCAGAGCAATTCTTTCATATCTTACTGCATTCTCTGTAGATGAATGGAGAAGGTAGCTTTGTTTTGAGACAGGGTCTCACTATGTTTCCCAGGCTGGAGTATAGCCTCGTGATCATAGCTCATTGCAGCCTCAAACTCCTGGGCTCAAGTGATCCTGCTGCCTCAGCCTCTTAAGTATTTGGGCCTGAAGGCACATGCCACCACATCTGGCTAATTCTTATTTTTTTTTACTTTTGCAGAGACGGGAGTCTCACTATGTTGCCCAGGCTGGTCTTGAATTCCTTGCCTAAAGCAATCCTCCCACCTTGGCCTCCCAATTGCTGGGATAACAGGCATGAGCCACTGCACAGGCCAATAAGGTAGTTTTTATTTAGTATATGTAAAAATAAATTACTTATGCATCTAGCTAGTACTAGTCAGAAAGACTTAGGTTACTGAGTATGGTACTTGCACCTATCATCACTGGAACTAATGTCAATGTTTGATCATTGGTACCAAAAGTAGTTTATATTTAGTCCTAAAGATATTATAGTGATTATTTGGTAGGGGGTGGTGCCTCCAGATTTAAGCTATAACAAATAGAAATCCATTGTCTGACCCCAAAGTAAAAATTTTTAAATGCTTTGTAATTGAAAATATCACATTGTGCTTAAAACAAATTTGACAAAATGATGCTACTTTAGATAAGAGGTTGGCAAACTTGTTCAGCATAAGGCTAGGTAATAAATATTTTAGGCTTTGTAGACTACATATAGTCTCTATCACATAATCTCTTTTTCGCCAAACAATTAAAAAATGTGAAAACTATTCTTAGCTCATAGGCTTTACAAAAACAAGTGGTGGGCCAGATTTGGCCCAAGGGCCATGGTTTACCAACCCCTGCTTTAACTAGTGTACCACACTAATAAAGAATATTTTCATTTTCTTAATCCTTGCTGCTATTTTTCCCTTCAAAACATTATCAATAAGAAGCACAAATTAAGACAAAGTCTAAACCAGGTAAAATCTCTAATACAAACTAAAACTGGATAAAGAGCTACGAAAAAAATTATTACGTTCTCTTTCAAATTTAGTCTACTCAGGCACATTCAGTTATGTGATTACTTGAAGATATGCTTGTATGAGGAAGTGAAACGTGGGGGTTTAAAACTCATGATCCTTTTTTTCCCCAGAGGCAGTTGGTGGGAATTAGCAGAAGTTCTGCAGACCTTAGTGAGCAGCATCTGCAGAGTGCATTTCCAAAAGGAGCAATTCTAGATCGCTGTTCCTATTAGTGGGGCTTTCAGGAAATACCCAAGAAATTAAATGCACAGCAGGACCTAAGTTGAGTGGCAGTGATCTTAGCACATGGACAGTTTCATGAAAGGAAAGTTGAAATGCTGCTTTAGGGTTACTCAAAATAGTCACAAAAACTTTGGAGCTCTGTCACTACTGCTGCCTCAGAATGGGGTTCCCTTGCTTGCCACTGCCCCCCAACTCCCCGCCAGCCCCACTTGCCCCATTGCAAATCCCAGACAATGATGGCAGCTGCACAGTTGCTGAGAGCCCGTAAGGCAACATCCAAGATAAAAGACGAAGAAAACTCTGTCTGAAGTCTGTGTGCTCCAGCAGAGTAAATGGAAATACTTCCAGGCTGAACACACAGAAGGGTTTCAAGCAGTGCTGAACCATGCCTGTCACGTTTCTGTGAAGCCCTCCTCCTGTCAGTCCAGCACATAAGGAAGGCTTCAGTTTTCCAAGACCAATTTGTCTGCAGTCTTTCAGATATTCAGTAAGTGCTATTTTTGCTCCTGAATCACAGAAATTTTAAATTAATGCAGATTTCCTTATTAACCTTTGTTAACTTACTAAATGGTAAAACCCTAATTACTTGCAAATGAACCAGATAAAATAAAGGTGTAAGAATTTTTTTCACACTTAATGTATAATATTCCCATTAGTAATCTTCTTCATAACGACCCTTTGTAGGGTTAAATTTCAACACTTTAAGTCACTCATTAAGTGTTAATTATCATTCTTCTATTGTTATAACTGATAGGTACACATCTGTGCAGAAACATTTACCCCACAAGTCCTCATGTAATGACAGCAGTTGGTGTTCCTCTTGGCCTGATAGGATTAGATGACTTGTAAGGTTTTATCTGACCCAGATATTAAAGGGCTCTGGGCTCTGTGGCTATTCAGATGGTATCAAATACACCTTTTACCATTGAGGAGCTTGATTCAGATAAGGCTTTTGTACCCCCATTTTTACATGGTATAGAATACCATAAGCACTTAATGAACACCTTTAACCTGCAGAGGGAACTCATCTCCTAACCTAATCAGAGCCAGACAAAAGTTTTAGGCAACTACACCACTGATTACTGACTACAACAGTCCCCCTGGTTCTTTTCCTGACCACATCAAACCTGCCTAATGTGGCACCTTCATCCCTTTTACCACCCAACTATCTATCAGGCACCTACGTCACAATAAATGCCAGTGACCTTGGTAGGGCTGAAAGAACAGAGATCTAGATGATATAGTCGGTGAATGATGGTTAAGAGGAGGAACAAAAGGTATCAGTGTGATATTTCAAAAATGGAATCTTTAAACAGGGATAAAAAACCTAGCAGAGTGGCTTCTCACTTCACACCGACACCTCCAAACTTCTCAGAACCCATCTTAAAAGCAAAACAAAATAAAACAATAAAAACACCTTACTAAATAGTAGAAAGCACAGTAGGCAGATTATCATAACAACAATAAATATAAGAATACTCATTCCCTTCCAGACATGTAGTAAGCCAGAAATTCTAAGGGCTGGTCACCATTAAATTAGATAAAAACTAATGACTAAAGCTGATCTTTTTATATTGGGTATTTCATTTGATAACATTATGTCCTCTGGGACAAAAACAGATTAATATTTAAACCAGATTAAAATTACTGATTTTTGTCTACTGGATGTTTCATTTCGTAAGATGCCCTCTGGCATAAAAGGTATTATTCCAAATAATACCAAATGGGCATTTAGGATGATTCTCCACATATGCCTAGTATAACCCAGTTTTGTTCAAAAACAGGAGTTTATAATTACTAATATGCTCAATCACAACCATTTCTTTAACGCAAGAAAGTCACTAAATTTAATTTTCCCCATGATCACTGATATAAAAGATATTTTCTGCTAATAAATTGGTTCTGAATAATATGTGCCTTACTTTGTGGCTTTCATATTTACAAACCATGATTCCTACATGAGGTTTTATATGAAGTTCTAAAACCACAACATTAAATACAAAAGTCCGTAAAATCTTATTTTTAAATTATATCTTCTGTTAGAATATTAAATACAATTTAATAAACTGAAACAGTATATTTTATATGACACAGAAAGCTTTTAGAAGACTAAATCATGAGCAGAGACATGAAAGCAAAGATATTAGACAGTAGTCACTCAAACATCTTTTGCTCCTGTGGCACTGAGAATATCGTATGTCAAAATCAATTGCCACATCCCTATGACCTGTACTATAATATCCTGTCACTGTGATACAAAGCACAGTATAAAGAACAGTCACACAGTGATCATTTGGTCAAGCAGCCCATGGCTAGAGCATCATCCTTCCAAAGTCATGACTGTGGACGGTCATAAAAACCAGCAAGGTCACCTAAAAGGGACGGAGGAGCTTGGTTTTTCACAATGTCTAGCTACATCCCTAAAACGGGGTCAGACACATTGCAAATGTTTGCTTTTGGTCATGAAGAAAGCTGTGGATCAATCAAAACAAATTACTACCTCAACTAGGAGAGAAAACAAAAAGAATCTTAAAATTCCCATTGGAGGCAAGTCAGGAACACTTAATCCTAAGTGAAAAAATGACGGATATTCTCTGGGCTTCATTTTTCGCAGCTACTACAACCATCAAAGCAACGCAAGAACTGGAAAGACTTTTTAAGCAGGATTGAAAAACAGTCTTTTTTTGCTCTTTCCTCTCTTTGCTGTTACTAGAAAATAGTGGTTACTAGAAAAGAAAGACTTCAGGGTAGGAAAAGGGCAGCAAGAAGAGGCATGTGAAGCACAGAACTGAACAAGGGAGTTAAGCCTCTTCAAAGAGCTCACAGTCAGCTGTGTGTGTGTAGCTGGCTTTTTTCCTGCATGGCTTTGGGAGGCAAGGCAAGACTGACTTAGAGAAAGCCAAGGGTACACAGCCTCAGCACATTCAAAAACAATGAAAATGAAAATTACAACACAAGCCATGGAAAATATTTGCAAATCATATATTTGATAACATACTAGTAACCAGAATATACAAAGAACTCTTAAAATTTAATAAGACAAATGCCCCAGTTTAAAAATGGGCAATTTGAATTGCCATTTTGCCAAAGAAGATACACAAAGAACTAATGATCACTTAAAAGATATTCACCATTATTAGTCATTAGAGGATTGCAAATTACAACCACAATAAGATACCACTTTATACTCACTAGAATGGTTATAAGACTATAAATAAACGTATATTAAGACCATATATTTCTGTATGTTTATATACACACATTAAGACATACACATATGTGTATATTCAGACATACTGGCAATGCTATATACCCATATCCAGATATGACAATATATATAATACACACACACACGCACACAACTGACAATGTTGTCAAGGATGTGATAAAACTGGAACCTTCATACATTGCCGATTGCTGGTGGGTTTGTAAAATTATATACTCTTAGATGGCTACCTAAGAGGAGAAAAACAAGTTCATCCAGAGAATTGTGTGCACAAGTTCAAAGCAACCCTATTCTTAGTAGCCAAAAACAGAAAACAAACTAAATGTAGATCAACTGGTGAATGAGTGACCAAATTGTGGCATATTCTTACAACAGAATAGTATTCATCAATAAAAAGGAACAAACTTCAATACATACTACAACATAGGCAAACATCAAAATCTTTAAGTAAAAAAGACTGGATGTAAAAGACTATATATTATTTGATTCAATTTATATGACAGCCTCAGAAAGGCAAATCTATGGAGACAGATAGTATATTAGTGGTCACCTGGAAGACTGCAAGAGGGAGCAGGGATTTATTGCAAATGGGCACGGAGATGATGAAAGTTTTGGAGGGTGATGGAACTGTTCTAAAACTGGATTGTAGTGATGGTTGCATAGCCCCTAAAATTCTTGGCTTGTACACTTTAAATAGATGGAGTTTACGGTGCGTAAATTATACCTCAATAAAGTTGTTTTAAAAAATGACAAAGATCCTTTTGTCTTTTTACACTGTAACCAAAAATCATGGTAAAATTCTACACAAAGTTTTTAAATTCTAATATTTATTCACCAAACAGTCACTGAATAATGGCCACAAACCCAAAATGGCTTTGACTTTACCACCACACTATGGTTTAAATATCTGATGCCTGGGCCTTTTTTAGTATCCTTAATTATTTGACAGTGATCAGACTATTTATTGACTCATGGGATTTTGAATGAGAGACAAAACAGCATTGGAACTATCAGGGTGGGACAGACTGATGCCCCTCTCCGCAGAGCCTCAGGAACCATCCATAGACTAGACATTGCTCTACCAGTCAGCAAGCAGCGGAGAAACAGTTCACATAGTCCCTCCTAAGAGACTCAAGCCAAGAGGCTCCCTTGAAAGACAGTAGGTGCTTTATTACCTGACACCAGCTTGGGGATACAATACTAAAATCTACCTCATTCCCCATTTAATTCTCATAATAGTAAGCAAGTCCATTAACATGGACTAAGGTTATAAAAGCTTAACATTATAATAGAAGGCAGATCCATCGAAGCTCAGCAAGATATAAAATGTCTTTTTTTATGGCATGTAAAGGCACTTTTGTCTTGCATTTCTATGATTGTATTAATACAATCTTACATTAAGGAAACATTTTAAAATAAAGAGTATAAAATTAAAAAAAATACAATGCAGAAAATCCAGCAGGAAGTAGGAAGCACTTGCATTTTCTCCAACCAAGCCCTATTTATGTCTAAGAAATGTATTAATTTCCTTAAAGACAAAATGGCTTGAATGTCAGCATGTTTACATTTAGACTTTATGTTCCTTCTTTTTATCTGGCACAGTGGTTCTGAAGCTGAATTACATGAGAATGCTACCCAGGAGTGCACACATGCATGCTGCTGATGTATATATGGATAATTACAGGGATTTTCAAAGTCAGAAAACACTTAGGACCTCTATTCCATGAAATCTGTACATCAGCATGGATGACAGGATGAGGAGGACCATAATGAACTGGCTATGAGATCATTGAGGTTGGATTCCTGAGCTGCTGAGCTTTTCATGTTTTTTCTACGTGAATTTAACAGTGCTGGTATTTTCAATCTGCATTCTTTAAACCAGGATCTCAAAGCCCCTTGCCAACAAATACTATTCCTCATTATTCTCTCAGGAGGTAGACCAAAAAGAGTTAAAAAATAAAAACAAGGCCAGGTGTGGTGGCTCACGCCTGTAATCCCAGCACTTTGAGAGGCCTAGTGGGCAAATCACCTGAGGTCAAGAATTCAAGACCAGCCTGGCCAACATGGTGAAACCCCATTTCTACTAAAAATACATAAAAAATTAGCCAGGCATGGTGGCGGGCACCTGTAGTCCCAGCTACTTGGGAGGCTGAGGCAGGAGAATCGCTTGAACGCAGGAGGCAGAGGTTGCAGTGAGCCAAGATTGTGCCACTGCACTCCAGCCTGAGTGACAAGAGCAAGACTCCAACTCAAAAAATAAAACTACAAAAAACAAAACAAAACAAAACAAGAAGCATATCTACATAAGAAAGAAGAGAAAATTGAATTTGAGGGAGTACTGGTTTTTCTTTCCATAAAAGACTTTAATGACCAATTTATTTGGCAAACATTATACTTAGCATTGATGTTTTGCAAGTCACAGATGCAGGATGAATGCTTTCAAACTGCCGACTTTTATAACTTGAAAGGGCCCATTTTAAAGTTGTGACTCATTTATGAGCCTGAAAATGCTATATCTGTATGTATGAATCAGACCAACTTGGAAGTACAAGTTTACAAAGTATTACATTGCCATCAACCACAAATTACAAATCCATTGATGAAATACTTAGAGTTTACTTGGCAACAGCTGAATCTTCAAGTGGTAGGAAATAATCTCATTATCCAATAACTATCCAGTATTCTGTAATAAATCAAGGTGGATATGTTTTCCCAGCACTGCAATGCATATTTTATGACTACTTTTACAACTATTAAAGAAACTTGATCCCAAGTAACATGTTTCAAATTTAAGTAAATCATCAGGAAATAGGCACCTCTAATGGCTAGTGCTGGGAAAGGAGTAGGCTAGGCCTCTGGGTGACTCTCCTGAAAATACAAAATAAAATCATGGCTGGCAGACCAGGAAAATGAGCTAGCACTCTAATATGTGGCTCCCTATTTCACATTCATCTTATGTAAATAATAAAAAAACACAAATAGAACAAGTGAAACTTTCAGATGCCATTCATCCCTTCCTCCATGACAACTGGCTTATGTTATATAAACAGATAAAAAACACTGAAACTGTTTTGAAATGGAAAACTTGAAAATTAGAACCCAGATCATTTAAGATACAGAGTTGATCACATATTGAATCTTAAAGTTCATTTAAAAGCATGTTCTACAAAGAGAAGTAATGAATACATGTGGTGTTAGAGGAACAGATTAAGTTATTAAAAGACATCCACTGCAATGCTAAATTAATTTACTAGATGTAAACAACTACCATCCTATTTTTTGTTTTATTGGTGCTCAGGAACAAGGGTATTCATTTTAAATCAGTATGTACAAGATTATATTCAATGCCCATATTCCATATGCAAGTGGGACCCCAAATTACATATTCTCTATAGGGATACAGAGAAAGTGGGACCCCAAATCTCATATCCTCTATAAATTAGTGCTAAGAGACTAGAAATCTGTCTAGTTACAAAATGAGATATTCTCTCATCCTACAGGAGCTTTCCCTTAGCAACTCCTTCATACTACTGATGTCAGAAGACATAACTGATCCTTGTGCTAAAAGCAGCTATTTTATATAAAACTTATGTTGTATATAGTTTTATTATGGGGCATGATTTGACTGTAATATTCCACAATATACCATATGTGATGGTTAATTTTAGGTGTCAACTTAACTAGATTAAGGAATACCTAGAGAACTGGTAAAGCATTATTTCTGAGTGTCTGTGAGGGTGTTTCCAAAGGAGACTGGTGTGTGAGTCAGCGAACTGAGTGAGGAAGATCCACCCTCAACGTGGGTGAGCACCATCCTGGCTGGGGGCTAGGACAGGACAAAAAAGGTAGAGAAAAGGTGAGTTCCTCTCTCTCCCGCCCCCTCTCTCTCTCTCCTGGAGCTGGGACATTCTTCCTCTCCTGTCCTTAGACTTCAGACTCCTGTCCTGTGCCTCAGAACTTCAGGCATTCCAGCCTTTGGACTCTAGGACTTGCACCTGCATCTCTTTGGATTCACAGGCCTTCAGCTTTGGACTGAGAGTTGCACCACTGGCTTCCTTGGATCTGAGGCTTTTAGACTTGGACTGAGCCACATATACCAGCATACCCTGTCTCCAGCTTGCAGATGGCCTCTCCTTGGGACTTCTCAGTCTCCATAATCCTGTGAGCCAATTCCTCTAATAAATCTCCTCTCATATATTTATATCTATATCCTCTTGGTTGTGCTTCTCTAACAGACTATATAATAATAAATTATGTTTCAACTGCATTTCAGAAATCATCTTCCAGGAAATTAAAAACGAAAACAAAATAATACAACATAGAAGAGTATTAGTGACAGGGTGACAAAAAATAGAGTGAAATCTACCTGGATTATTCTAATGAAAGAACAAAATATACTTTTAAGACACTGAATAGTAGACTCTAAACACAACTGAAATTGAAGTCTCTATTCCTCAGGTTCTCTATGCTAATTTGAGAATAAATACCTAATTTATTTTCATCTATCAGTTTTCAGTGATCACAAGAATTTATTCTTTATTCATCTAAAATGCAGTTTAGATTATCCAAAGGTATTCAAAAGTTGCATTATGCTTCTCCAGTTTGTCTGCTTTCAAAAAGAGCAAATTATTGTTAAGTCATTTTTAGAAAATGTTCCTTAACAAATGATACCTAGTTAATACATATTTAAGTGCCCTGAGAGATAAAATAATGGGAAAAGAAAGGACAATAGTTGGCCACTTTTTTAACCAAATGACCCTTTTCCATTCCAAACATTACCTGGAATCTCCAATTTATTATATATTATCACAATGTTTGCTTTTCTGCTTGGGAACACTACCACCTAAATACCTAACTCACCTTTGCTCTCTCTTTTCCTTTCCATCCCCAATTTGCCCCCTAACACAGCATTACAAACCTATGTCAAAAAGGAAAAGATTTCATTGAACACAGAAACATTATTTTGAATCCAAACTGTGCAGAAAAGTTCAATTTCTTTCTATCTCCAAAACTTCAGTATTGTCATATGTCAAGTATGTTTCCCAGAAAGCATGGCCAAATAAATACTCTTTTTCCCTCTTGAGGATTTCTAATGCATATACATATACTAAATGCTCTGAGAACTCTTACAGTGAAAAAGAAACAAAACTCCTTTCTTTGTGTAACACAGCACTGACCCACAATATCCAGTTCTACCTGTTGCAAAATAGCTACTATTCTTGCTCAGAAACGGTGCCCAGTAAAACACACTTTGGGGTGAATAGCTGCCTACGTACGCTATCTTTACAAAACTAGAGAAGTCTCAAAAGGTACAAGTCAGGATTGGATAATTCCCAATCTTCAGGACCCCAAGCTCTGAGTTTCAGGTTTCTTCTAAAACATAAATGTTCCTGAAATTTCTCCTAATACATTGTGATTAAATGCCTTGGCCTGGGACCCCATGAACATGAGATCGCTTAGCAGCACTAGGCCACACTTCTCAGCTGCTTAAGAGGACAGTGTTCTTCCTAGAACTGATGCCTACCTTAACACAAAGCCAAACCATAACCAGAGAAAGAGTAGATTACTGTGGTCTGGTCTGGGGAAGCTGCTTATTAACAAATGTAGGCCACAGAAATAATGCTAGATTCTTCCTTCTCTGCTTCCTCCTATCATTCACCAAAAAGAGAGAGAGAGAGAGAGAGAATTTTTATTACCTACAGGTAAAAAATTTCAGAGGCACATGATATGCCAGGGAAAATAATACCACAAGGAATAAATGCCTCCCATAGGATGCTCTCCCCATTAATACAGAACAATTTCTAGAAACTTATAGAAATCCTGAATCTTGTGCTCCTAGAAGGACAGGAATAGGTTTTTAATGCAAACTTCTCTAGAAAGCTGTTTCTCTTTTTCTCTAGCTCTTTCCTTTTAAAAAAGTCCAAAAATCTAAGTCTCTTTTTAGATATCTAATTAACTAAAAATAAAAATTTCTATCAGATGTGAATCTCCCCTTTTTACATGGAGAGGATGCTTGGATGGACCAAAGATGGAACTGGTAGGATTCATTCAAATCCAAATCCTAAACCAAATAAATAGAAAAGCTGTGTGTTATATTTAGTATTGTAAACTTCATATAAGAGGGGAAAAAAAAGGGTCAGAAAATAATTATCAAGGAAGCGTAAGATACTGGTGACATCATGTTCCAAATTGCAAATTTACGGAAAAACAATTTTTTTTTATCTTTGTATCTTACAAACCACAATCTGGAGAATTTGTGCAGCAAAATGGGAAGTTTAATAAAAACCAAATGTGGAAAATCTTCTATTAACACAATGCTGGTTAATAATTTTTTTTTCTTTTACACATTTGTGTAATGATAAAACGTTACGTTGGGAAGAAGTCTTAACAAGCCATTTAGTTGGCAAATGAATAAACTAAGGCAAAAAGACATGAGATGTTTGGCCTGAGGTCACTCAGCCCCTAAATTACACAACTGAGACTAAATCCCAGTGTCCCAATCCAGAGTTTTGGCCTCTGTCCCTTCCCCACCACACTGTCACAGATTTGTTTCCTTTATGTACCTGCTGGCTACACACTCTCATTCTTGCTATGAAATGAACAGTTTTCACCTTTTATTGCCTCTTTACATGAAAACAGCAATGGTCATCACCTCACAATCTGAGCATGTTAAAAAACACACAGACTTGGGGCTGCTAAGCGAATGTGGCACAGCTTGCCTTGGCATTCTGTATTTAGTGATAATGGGTTAAAACAGCTAAGATGAACTATTTTTGAAAAGAAAATATATGGCATGTACACAATTTTGAGGCTCTCTTAATTGGCCTTTGGAAGCAGATGCACTAGAGACCACCCATGGAGATGTATATATTGTCAGACCTGGCTATTTCCCTCATTGTTACATTGTTATGCATAATTTTTAATTAGGGCTTATCTTTATACAGTAAATAGGTATGTCAACTAGAGTTTTCCATATTTATTCTTCAACCATCATAAGGTACATCTGCTCCAGAAAATATCATAAGCCTGTAAATACCATGATTGCTAGGAAACAAAGCATTACCATAAGGAGTCTACCTTTCCTTAAAAAGAAAACGTTAATCCCTCAAATGGCATATTTACGCAGAGAAGTTCTAAAAAAACGTTCAGAGACATGATATTAAAAACTAGTCACTACCAAATTTCTGGTATAAACAGGTGGGCTCAACAAACATGCTGGCCTCAGCTCCTTCCCTTAACAACCTTAAAATGATTATAAATAATACTAAAACAAGCAGACAGCAAAAAAGCATGTAAACCCATAAGGACAACAAGAATGAATGACAGAAGAGTAGTTAAAAAAAAAAAAAAAGCTAGAAAGCCAGTCGACAGGTGGCCACTGACTTACCTGACATGAGAATGCAGAATTCTGTGGCAACAGTGGTGAAAAACCAAGAGGCAACCGCACATGCACTGAGAACCAAACCCCTCACCCATGACTTAGGCACTGTTGGCACCAGTACTTCTGCATGTGGGGATAACCATAGAGTTTCGAAAGGGAGGACAGGTTCAAAAAAGGCATAGAGGCAGTTAGACACACAGATGTCCTCTTCTGCTTTGTAGAAACACTAACTGTTCTTTCGCAACCTGGCAGAAGTCTGAAAATCTATTATCTGGAGACAGTACAACACAAGGTCTGTGGACCTACTGCAGGGCATCAGACACTGGAGAGAGCAAGCTACTGTACTGATACCAGGAGAACAAGCAAATGCTTGCATAGTAACTGTTGAGACCTCTTCTTTGCCCTGTGTTTCAATTCCCAAGACGCTGTCACCTCAGGCTTCTGCTTTCATGGCAGAAGAGCAGAAAAGACTTCCGATGCACTGGTCAGATGGTCAGAGAAGACACAAAATATGTAAAGGTATTGAAATTGCTGTTCTATGTCCCCCACTCAAATCACCCTTTAATAAAGCCTGCAGCTGACAAATTTGAAGTATGTATGCAAAGCTCCTAAAACAGAAGCCAAAACAAAAGAAAAATGCATCTTTGGGGAAACAAAATGCAAAGAGAAAAATTTCAAAAAGCCATAATTAACATCTCCAGAGAAAAGTTTCTATGAAAGAAAAGCATGATGCTATTAAAAAAAAGGCATTCAGGGATCAAAAATTAGACACTGGAAATTAATACACAATACAGAAGAAGTAAAATCCCAATAGAAAGTGTGAAAGATAAATTTGAGGTTATCTTCCATATATAGAGCAAAAACAAATGGAAAACTATAAACAAAGAATAAGAAAATTAGGGAATAATATAGGAGGGCCATTATCTACACAACAGAAAATAGGAACAAAAATCATTAAAGAATTCAGAAAAATCTCCAAAAATTGAAGGACATGAATTTCGAGATTGAACAGGTCCACCAAGTTCCCAGTACCATGGATTAAAATACATCCTTGTATTTTACAAGGATGCATTAAATTACATCCTTGTGTAATTTTAGAATACCAATACTAGAAGCCTCCAGAAACAAAATAAATAAAAAAGGAGCATGGCATCAGACTGCTAGACCCTGAATACCAGAAGAAAATGGATACTTCAATATTCTGAAGTAAAGTGATTTCCAATCTAGAGTTTTATATCCAGCTGATTACCAGTTAAGCATGAGAGAAGACTAAAGACTCCCATATCTGCAAGATCTCAAAAATATCTCTCTTATATACTACCTTTGCTTCAAAACTACTGGAAGACAGATTCCACCAAAATAAAGAACGAAGAAAGAGGGTGAAATGGGGTTCAAGAAAGGGGCTACTGAGCATACAAAAAAGGCAAAGAAAGTCCCCAACATGATAGAGATGCAAGTCAGAATGTTCCAAGAGTCATTTCTTCAAGGTGAAGTTGATGAATTGCTTAATATATTTGAAAAGAGTAAAAGGTATTTATATAATGTGAGAGAATTTAGAGATGATTTAGTGACAAGTATACAGAAAACTAAGCAAATAAAAAATGAGGCAACTATTTCTTCCAGAAAAAAAAAAAAATTGTGCAGGAAAGGAAAAATGATTACGATATATTATCTTGTTCAGCTACAAATGCAGTTTATACAGTAATAACAATGTAAACATAGAATATAGATTTTAGGGTTTATATATCTTACTGGGAGATAGGGAGATAAAAATCACTTTTTTGGGGAGGAGTGAAGTTGTGAAAGGGGTATGTTTATATACGGGGAAAAAAAAAAAACTGACTTCCACAGAAGAAAGTTAATAGATAGCTCCAAAACAACAACAAAAAATCTAGATGCAGCAACATAAGCAATTGTATTTAAAATACAATTTATTTTTGTATTTAAAATACAAAACTATAAAAAGCAGTTACCAAGAGAATGGCTAAACAGATTTAAAGTGAATGCTTCTGGAAAGCTGGAATGGGCTGGGGGGTGGTCAGGGTTCACTACCCTTTTTTTTTTTTTTTTTCCAGCAACTCTCATATAGCTGTTTTTCTTCCTTGAACTATCTGAGTGTATAACCTTGACTTTCAAAAGCCAAATTTAAAAAAAAAATATTCGGCCTGGTGCGGTGGCTCACGCCTGTAATCCCAGCACTTTGGGAGGCTGAGGCAGGCAGATCACGAGGTCAGGAGATTGAGACCATCCCAGCTAACACGGTGAAACCCCGTCTCTACTAAAAATACAAAAAATTAGCCAGGTATGGTGGCAGGCACCTGTAGTCCCAGCTACTCGGGAGGCTGAGGCAGGAGAATGGTGTGAACCTGGGAGGCAGAGCTTGCAGTGAGCCGAGATCGGGCCACTGCATTCTAGCCTGGGCGACAGAGCGAGACTCCGTCTCAAAAAAAAAAAACAAAACAAAACAAAACAAAAAAAACTACAAAGACTAACATCTGAACTTTCAACACTCCTAGAAATGTCTAAATCATTCCTATGTCTCTACTGTTAATTTCAACTTGAATTTTCTTAACCAAGGTCATGTGAGGGTACTCTGTAGCCCACTATGAGACAACTATTCCTGCTTATGTCATAAGTCTATTTTTCTTAAATGGCAAAGTTAACATTATTAACGTATAACTGATTAAGATCACTGAGCCACTCCTGAAATCTGAGAATATATGCCTAGGTCTAGACCACCAGAGCGCTGCAGACATTAAAACAAATACACATTGCCTGTTCTTACTAATTGTTGAAAGTTCAGTACAAACTAATACGCATACCCATAACCTCCTTATCAAGTAATCATTTGAAAACTATTATATACAGGCACTAAAACCAACAAACCGCTTTAAGATATTCCCTAAAGCCCAGGCATTTTGCATCAACACTGTTTGACAGGATTTCTGTCTCAACAACAAACAACGCTCATAAGCAATCAGGCACAGAAATGACTCAATATTACCATTAAACTCACATTTCCAATAAAAGTGTCCTGTACAATTTCTAGGTCTCCAAATTTTGGCACAAAATTATAAAGGCAGCCCTCTACTGAAAACTGATCAAATTAGAAAGAAAACACACAAGCATGAAGGCATTTGCTCTACGAAAAAATCTTCAGAAAAGCTTTGTCACAGTCATTTCAAAGAAGCCTGTCAGAAAATCCAAAATTTTTAAGAGTGAGACACTACACGTCTCAAGTCTAAAATTTTTTTTTTCTTACTTGTGAAGATACCACATGGTAAATTATGTTCTCAGGAAAAGAAACAAACTTACCTTTCACAAGCTCGGACAGTCCATGCGGCAATTATCCATAATGAGATACTAAAAACCAAGAGTACAGTTCCTGGGCATATAGTCATTAAAGTCTTCATAACAAAACGTGTATTGAAGTTTATCTTATTAAGTGCTCCAATGCTTCTAGAGGAGGCATCAGTGAAAAGTTTGCTATGTAAAAGCATGACTCTGGCAATCAGATAGAGTCTTAAGAACATTGGTATAGATAAAATAATATCCACATCAGCGGTGGTTGTGGATGGGGCATAGGAGAAGGCAAGCCGGGCCGTCCATGTGAATGTATAATTCCCAGGTATGGGATGAATAGCACACACCAGTATTTCCAAGCAGATGAAGAAAATACGCTCATAAGTCATGGCTATTCTCCAGTCATCTGCTCCATTGTCCACCATGAACAACTGAAAAAATAAAGTAGAAAATCAGCTTCAGTATGGCATGAATGGTCCACAAGTGTTAGTGCAGATTTTAAAAACACACAACAGATGACTTTTAGCAATCATGGCAAGCTAAAGGTTATAACTTTTAAATGCTAGCCAGGTATACTATTTTTAGTAAAGGGTATTGGTATTCATTTTGTACAAATTAAATTAAAAACTTGGTACTCAGGAGCTAAAACTGTTTTGAAGTTCAAAGTTCCTGGACAATCACGTAAACATCATCATTTTAAAACAGGGGCTTGAGCCTATCAGTCATGAAAACCCCCTCAGATGAAGTCGAAATGGACTCGCCTTATAACAAGTTGTTTTCCTCTTTCAGTCTGGATTTAAAGCCTTACACAATTCTAACTATATTCTCAGTGAAATCTATTTAGGGTGCCTCTGCAATCAGTTATACCCTATAATGCAACAACACATGAGCGTTCTTACAGGAAATCTTATTCTTGGCTTCAGAGAAAATCACAAGAGACCACAGACAAATGTGGCAGAAACATTTCTTCCAGTTTCCCCACGACTACTCTATTTTCTGTCTCTTTTCTTCTATTCGTCCATAGCCTTCCCTTGGATTATTCATTTACTTTCAATCTTTATTTAATAAAGTTCCCTTTTTCCTCCTGTTTCTGTCATTCCTTACACCACAATCAATGAAAACAAACAAAATTTTTTAAGAAGAAAAAACCAGCGAGAAAGCAAAGTAAATAAATAGATATATAGATAAAGAGTAAAAGGGACAGAAAAGAGTATCTTCCTCTCTTCCCTGGCTCTCTGTAAACAAGTCCTCCAGGCCCTGGCAGTCTAGAGACAACCAGAAGCATTTGGAAATGTGTGATGGCTTTTCTGACTGCCACAAGGACTTGCAAGGGATACTGACACTTAGGGCCCAGAAGCCAGGGATGCCAGCCATGCTTCAATGCTGAGAGTCCCACGTATTAGGAAGACCTTTGTTTTGAGAAGCTATATATATTCCAAAGATACTGTCATTGCTGCCTTTGGAAATTACTATCAGGGACTATTACAAGTCACATAAATAAAATAGCACTGTTCTTTAAATCCACATTTCCATTCTTACCAAAAATGTTATTATCCAGCTTGATTGTCTACTTTATTTACCAAACTTGACCCTGAATGACCCGGCAGTGTGCAAAAATCAAATCCACTTCCAAACGGGCTAAGAATCACCAAGACTCCAAATAGTCAAAAGCTGTGTGGCAAAGTCCCAGCTGAGTTCCAATAAAGTTATTCCCCATAATGTTTTGGACAACAATACAAACTCAGGATAAATACTTTCCAAGGTATTTATCTGGTAAAGAAATGTCAAGTCTCAATGTATCACTCCGATATACTGCTTACAAATAAGCCTCCTCCTTCTAGGACTGGCCCTCCTTCCATTCTCCCCAATGCACTTGCTCCTCGCACCTCACTCTACTCTCTTTTTTTCAGGCCCTTTTCACTACTCCTCTGCTCACTTCCCTAACTAGGCTGGTTCTCTCTATTGAGTCTCACTCCTTCAACCATAATCCTACTGCCATTCTCAGCAGCATCATCCTTTACCTTTAGGTGATCCTGTCCAGGTAAACTCTCAATCTGGAACCTGATATCCAGGCTGCTGCAGGTGGCCTATGGCCACCACCCACCTGTGCCTTCAAGCTCAGCTGACCCCTCAGAGTCACCTTGTGATCATTCCCACATCCACCATGGGTTGTTTTCCTCGAGGGCCGCCATTGTTCCCCTTTCTCTCAGCATGCACTTTCCCCACAGTATCAGAGGAAATACCCTCTATTTGATACATTAGCCACAATCTTACCTACAGCCACACCCTTTCCTCCTTATTTCCCGTCCCTTTTGCTTCATGTGTCTAAAGCAATGTTTCACCAAAATCCAGTTCTCTTGCATCAATAGCCTATAGTCTAGTTCCTGTGCCTCTTTTCTCTCAGTAGAGTCTACAAAGTCAAACTTCTACTGTTGACTAAAAACAAAACACCCAAACAAAGAGAACCAGGGCTGGCTCCATGCCTACTCTAGGTTGTGTTTGTTTTCTCACTTATTCATTCTCAAACAACTTCCAGGCAGATCTTGCTCCCATTAACCTACCAAGACTACCCTTGCTAAGGTCACTAAAGATACCTTCATTATGAAATCTGATCCTCCCATCTTAATTTTTATCTCATTTGTCCTGTCATTCCTGCTTCCCTAAGAAGGATCTCTTTCCTTGGCTTCTGTGACATGTTGCTTTTTCCATCTGCTGCCACTCTTAAGGATCTCACTGTCTTTCTCTCCATTCTGTGTCCCTACTTGGTATGGTCTGGATGTGTCCCCACAATATTAACCAACACACTACCAGAGTCCATCTCTGACTTTTCTCTCACTCTATACTTCCCTGGGTAGTCTGATCCTTCACTCTCCATTACCATATTCCTCCTATCTTCCATTGTCTAATGACCTTTTTAAAATTTAATTCAAGATTAACACCATTCAAAGGCCCACCATGGCCTGATGGGTAAAATCTAATCTATACCCATAGCACACAAGCCATTCTGCAATCTGGTTTTGCCTATCTCTCCAACTTCATTGCCTACTATTCTACTTACATCTCCCTATAGTTGGAGATTCCAGAACACACCAACCTAATCATGCTTCTGGGTCTTCGTACATTCTGTCCCATGGCCTGGAAAGTCTCCATCTAGCAAATTTGTATTCCTTCAAGACCAAACTCCACGTCAGCTCCTCTAGCATGTAGTAGATGCCCTGTAAAAATCTGGAAACTCCCTCCTTTGTTCCACCATGATCCTCATATGTGCTTCTTATTGATGCTGTCACATAAAGGACAATAAAAGACTTCTTAATAAGACTGTCTCCCCTACTTGTTAGTGAGACTCCGTGTCTACCTAGTGGAGGATAAGAAATGCTTGATAAATAAACTTCCTTGTTATTTCTCAGTTAACAGTGACTATCCTAATCACTGGATAGGTCCTAATATCAATTAAATGTGCTTGTGGAAGCTGAGAATACCGAAGCATAATGCAAGTGAATGTAAGACACATTCACCTAAATAATAAGTCATTGCAGCAGCATAATTTTGCAGTTCCATAGAGTCCAGATAACTTTCCTCTTTGGTAACTTCCTCACTAAAATGTTCTATTACATAGTTGTTTTTTTACTATCAAAGGTCTTAATACCTGAAATTTTTTTTTATCATAGCATATATTTTAATGCTGAAATTGAGGAAAAATATTTACTTGTATTCTCCACATAATCCTGACCCTCAATGTTGCTTGTTTATTCATTTACTTATCCAGTGTACTAAATACTATGTGCCAGGTATTGGTCTACATACCAGCCATACAGCAGCATTTATGATGAACAGAGAATCTGCCCATTGAAACTAACTTTTGCTAGGAAAAAAAAAAAAGAAAGAAAAAAAAAAACATAGTCAAGAAAGCAGACGTAAAGAAATCGAATAAAGTAATTACGCTTTTGGACATTGTTATGAAGGAAAGAAACAAGAGATGAAATAGAGAATAATGCATTAGAGATGACAGTAGATGTGGTCATCAGGAAAAACCTCTGGATAAGTACCATTTGATGCAAGATCTGGATTAAGAGAAAAGCCAGTCATGTAAACAACCAGAGGAATAATATTCTAGGCACAGGAAACAGCACATGTAAAGGCCCTGGGCTTCATAAAAGCTTAGCATACATAAAGAAATGAAGGAACATCAGAGTGGCTGAAACTTAATGATCAAGGGGCAGCATGAAAGGAGATCAGTCTGGAAATAAGTTTGAAGAGACTAACTGGGACCAGATAAGCAGGCCTTTGTTGACCCATGGTATCCAAACAGGATTTCAATCTAAGCCAAGTGGGAACCCATTGAAGGGTATTAGGCAGAGGAATGATGTGATCTGATTTATAGCCTGAAGGGCTCACCCATACTGCTCTGGGGAAAACAGGGTGAAGAGGGGCAGTTGTGGAAGGAAGGATAAAAGTTAGGAAGCTCTACTGCATTTGATTGGTTGTTGTACCTCGTCACCTAAATTGGGGGACTGTCATGGAAATGGAGACAATGAGTGCACTGGACATAAAGATCTTATAGCATACCAAATTGTCTGGCTCACAGCTAAAGCAGTGTTAAGAGAAAAGTTTATAGCACTAAATGCCCATGTGAAAAAGTTAGAAAGATCTCAAATTTAAAACCTAACATCAACCTAGGGAAACTACAGAAACAAGAGCAAACCAACCCAAAAGCTAATAGAAGACAAGAAATAACCAAAATCCAGGCTGAACTGAAGGAAATTGAGAAGCAGAAAACCATATAAAAGATCAACAATCAAGGAGTTGGCTATTTGCAAGAATAAATAGATAGACCACTAGCTAGACTAATAAAGAAAATAGAGAAGATCCAAATAATCACAATCAGAAATGACAAAGGGGACATTACCACCAACCACATAGAAATACAAAAAAAAAAAACAAAAAAAAAAACCCTCAAAGGCTACTATGTACATCTCTATGCACACAGGCTAGAAAACTTAGAGGAAATAGAAAAATTCCTGGAAACATACAATCTCCCAAGATCGAACCCAGAAGAAATGAAATACCTCAACAGACCAATAACAAGTTCCAAAATGGAATCAGTAATAAAAAGCCTATCAATCAGAAAAAGCACAGAACCAGAGGAATTCATAGCCGAATTCTATCAGATATATTAATATAAGTAAGAGCTGATACCATTCCTACTGAAGCTATTCCAAAAGATTGAGAAGAAGGCACTTCTCCCTATCACATTCCAGGAGGCTAGCATCAACCTGATACCAAAACCTGGCAGAGACACAACAAAAAAATAAAACTTCAGGTAAATATCCTTGATGAACGTTGATGCAAAAAATCTCAACAAAATACTAGCAACCAGAATCCAGCAGCACATCAAAAAGCTAATCTAACACAATCAAATACGCTTTATCTCTGGGACGCAAGGTTGGTTCAACACATGTAAATCATTAAACATGATTCATCACATAAACAGAAGTAAAAACAGAAATCACATGATCATCTCAATAGATGCAGAAAAGGTCTATGGCCATACTACCCTGAACACACACAATCTCACCAATACGTGCAGAAAAGGCTTTTGGTAAAACTCAACAGGCCATCATGTTAAAACCCCTCAACAAACTAGACATTGAAGGAACATACTTTAAAATAATAAGAGCAATCTATGACAAACCCACAGCCAACATCATGCTGAAAAGGCTAAAGCTGGAAGCATTCCCTTAGAAAACTGGCACAAAACAAAGATGTCCTCTCTTACCACTCCTATTCAACACAGTACTGGAAGTCTTAGCTAGAGCGATCATGTAAGAGAAAGAAATAAAATGAATCCGAATAGGAAGAGAGGAATTCAAACTATCCCTGTTTGCAGGTGACATGATTTTATACTTAGAAAACTCCATAGTCTCTGCACAAAAGTTCAATGATTTAATAAACAACCTCAGCAAAGTTTCAGAAAACAAAATCACTCTATAAAAACCAGTAGCATTCCTATACACCAATAGCATTCAAGTTGAGAGACAAATCAAGAACACAATCCCATTCATAATAACTACAAAAAGAATAAAATACCTAGGAATACAACCAAACAAGAAGATGAAAGATCTCTGTGAGGAAAATTACAAAACACTGCCCAAAGAAATCAGAAATTACATAAACAAACGGAAAAGCATTCCACGGATAGCAAGAATCAGTAATGTTAAAATGGCCATACTGCCCAAAGCAATTTACAGAATCAGTGTTATTCCTATCAAACTGTCAATGACATTCTTCACAGAAATAGAAAAAACTATTTTAAAATTCACATGGAACCAAAAAAAGCCTGAATAGCCAAAGCAATCCTAAACAACAACTACAAAAAAAAAAAAACAACAATACTGGAAGCATCACATTACCTGACTTCAAACTATACTACAAGGCTACAGTAACCCAAACAGCATGGCACTGGTACAAAAACAGACACATAGTTCAATGGAGCAGAAATACAGAGTTCTACAGAGTGCAGACATAATGCGACACATCTACAACCTTCAACAAAATTGACAAAACCTAGCAATGAAGAAAGGACGCCCTATTTGATACATGGTACTGGGAAAACCGGCTAGCCACATGCAGAAGATTGAAACTGGATTCCTTCTTTATACAATATACAAAAATCAATTCTAAATGGGTTATAGACTTAAATGTAAAACCCCAAACAATAAAAACCCTGTACTATAACCTAGGAAATATCATTCTGGACATACGACCTAGAAAAGATTTCATGATGAAGACACCAAAAGCAATTGCAACAAAAACAAAAATTGACAAATGGGACCTAATTAAACTAAAGAGTTTCTGCAGAGCAAAGGAAACTATGAACACAGTAAACAGACAACCTATAAAAAGAAAGAAAACATATGCAAACTATGCCTCTGACAAAGGTCTAATATCCAGCATCTATAAGAAACAAACAAATTTACAAGAAACAAACAACCCCATTAAAAAGTAGGCAAAGGACATGAACAGACTTTATTCAAAAATAAGGCATACATGCAGCCAACAAGCATATGAAAAAATGTTCATCATCACTAATCATCAGAGAAAGGCAAATCGAAACCACAATGAGATACTATCTGACACCAGTTAGAATGGCTATTATTACAAAGTCAAAAAATAATAGATGTGGCCAGGCATGGTAGCTCACGCCTGTAATCCCAGCACTTTGGGTGGCCGAGGCGGGGCAGATCACTTGAGGTCAAGAGTTCAAGACCAGCCTGGCCAATATGGTGAAACCCCATCTCTACTAAAAATACAAAAATTAGCCGGGCATTGTGTTGCGTGCTTGTAATCTCAGCTACTCAGGAGGCTGAGACAGAAGAATCACTTGAACCCAGGAAGCAGAGGTTGCAGTGAGCCAAGACAGCACCATTGCACTCCAGCCTGGGCAACAAGAGCAAAACTCCGTCTCAAAAAAATAAAAAACTAACAGATGCTGGTGAGGTTGCAGAGAAAAGGGAATACTTACACACTTCTGGTAGGAATGTAAATGAGTTCAGCCATTGTGGAAAGCAATTTGATGATTTCTCAAAGAACTTAAAACAGAATTACCAGTAGACCCAGCAATCCCATTATTGAGTACATACCCAAAGGATTATAAATCATTTCGCCATAAAGATACACGTACGCGTATGTTCACTGCAGCAGTATTCACAATAGCAAAGACATGAAATCAACCTAAATGCCCTTCATTGGTAGAGGGATAAAGAAAATATGGTATGTGTACACTATGGAATACTGCACAGCCATAAAAAGAATGAGATCATATCATTTGCAGCAGCGTGGATGGGACTGGAGGCCATTATCCTAAGTGAACCAATGCAGGAATAGAAAATCAAATACCACATATTCTTACTTATAAGTGGGAGCTAATCACTGAGTACACATGGACGCAAAGAAGGAAATGATAGACACCAGGGCCTACCTGAGGGTAGAGGGTGGGAGGAAGGTGAAGATCAAAAGACTACCTAGGCTGACCGTGGTGGCTCACGCCTGTAACCCCAGCACTTTTGGAGGCCAAGGCGGGCAGATCACAAGGTCAGGAGTTCGAGACCATCCTGGCCAACATGATGAAACCCCATCTCTAAAAAATACAAAAATTAGCCAGGTGTGGTGATGCGTGCCTATAGTCCCAGCTACTCGGGAGGCTGAGGCAGGAGAATCACCTGAACCTGGGAGGCAGAGGTTGCAGTGAGTCGAGATCGCGCCAGTGCACTCCAGCCTGGGCAACAGAGCAAGACTCCATCTCAAAAAAAAAAAAAAAGACTACCTATTGGGTACTATGCTTATATGCTTATTACATACATGATATAATCCAAACCCCCCGACACACAATTTATCTGTATAACAAACCTGCACATGTACCCTTGAACCAAAATAAAAGTTTAAAAATATCCATTTAATAGAGGCACACATAAAGTTTTCAATTCTTCCACAAAGAAAAATGCTGTATGGCACAGAAAAACACCTATGTAATGTTTCCGGTTTCTCCCTCTTAATTAGTTTTCCTAGTCTCCCTTAAGAAAACAAAAGCCCTTTCTCCTGATTCACCAAATAATAAAATACTGACTACCATCTAAACAACAACAGCAACAACAAAAGTAGAAATCTTGTCAGAACTTGCTGATGGGCTGGATGTGGGAGCAATAAAAGAAAGAGAAGATGCAAACATGGCTATTGTGTTTCTACCCTGAGAAACACAGCGGATGGTGGTGCCATTTCCTGGGTACAAAGGGCCAAGGGCTGGAGGGAGGCAAGGAATGTAAGAAATAAAAGGTTTCATTTTGGCCATTTACATCTGAGTATATATGCCAAGTGCAGGTCACTCAGAAGAGAAGTCTGGACTACTGAAGTAAATTTCAGAAAACTGTTATTTGGGTAATCGTATGAGATCAAAGGAAAAATTAGACAAAGTGAAGAGAACAAAACAGTACTCAAGGCCAAGTCCAGAGGAAGCCCAAATGCGGAGGGCATTTGGAAGGTCAGGACGTAAGAGGATCTGGAAAGCAGCAGGCAGTGAAGCAGGAAGGAAAGAACTGTCCTAGGAGACAAGGCTAGGTGCCGTCAATTAAAAACTGTCCAGTGGTATTTGCCAGGTTGAGAGATATGTTAATGCACTCAATTCTATAAAGAAAATGAAAACATTCTCAACATCACAGGTATTCAACACTCATTCATTGTCAAGTATGAAAATCTAACCGTAGAACTATTCTCATTACAGTCCATATAATCTTAACAATATATATGATCTGTTTTAAGCTCACTTGTAGGTGAGTTAAAGTAATGAGAAGAACTAATATTATTTAGTTCTTCTATATTCATTTTCAATTCTGAGGTTGTTAAGAGATGAAAGATTTTAGGTCAGAAGAACAGTTTAATCTACCTTAATTCTAGGGTGATGGTTAACAGTCTTGGCCAGAGGTCTAAAGTAACTTGTAGGCATAATGCTGAATGTGCCCTCAGAATATGTCCCACCATGAGCATGAACTTTCCAGTGCGACTGTTTTGTATTTGCTCAGATAACCAAATGTAATATACTTCAAGCTCATCATCATAGATTAGTTAGCACTGACCAGCCATCAGTGAAGAGGGGCTGGAGTTTAGCAGGAGGGGCCTGCCCACAAAGAGGTAACCTGTGTACACCAGAAGGAGCTCGGCTGCAGAACCCTTCTCCTATCTACCTTCTGCATGTGCTTTTCCTCTGCAAGGTAACTGCAAGCTCTTGCAGTCGGGGACAATTCATTAAACATCTTGGGTTTACCTTCTAGAAAATAATCCAGGGCATTGCTCAGCAAAAAACTGGGGCTTAAAAATTACACACTGAAAAACATAATTTTAGTCATATATTTGTTAGGAAAGTAAGTAGAATAGCCAGGAAAATTCTGAAAAGGAAGAGTAACAAGGGAGAAGCAGCCACATAAATTTTAAAACATAAGTTAATCATTAAAATCAGGTGGTACTGGCACTTAATATAACTGAAAGCCTGATGGAACAGAACAGAAAGTCTAAAATAGACCCAATATACTGAGAATTTCATAATAATACAAAGGTAGACTCTCAATCAGTGGGGAAAATACAGCTTATGGAAAAATGATTTGGAGACAACTAAGTAACCACCTGGAGAAAAGCAGAGTTAAACCCATGCCTCATACCCATACAAGTGTTTGAAAGACATAGATGTGAAAATGAAAATACTAGCATATTAAAAGAAATCAGGTAAGAACCTGGCCATAACCTTGGAGAAAGGAAGGCCTTTTTGACACAAACTCCAGAGTCTCAAGATAAAATACTGCATCTTATCTTTTAATGCATTTAATGCACTTGACTTCATTAAACTTTTGCTTTCTGCAATTAACTAAAACTACAATAAAGAGAGTAAAAAGACAAGGACCAAACCATGGGAAAACGTTCACAACACCTATCACAAAGGACTAACCTCCCTAATACATAAAAGTTCTTAAACATTAAGAAAGAGACAAGCAGCACAGTAGAAAAATGAATGCAGGATACAAGCCTTAGGTCATGGAAAATGAGATGAAAATGGCTCTTAAACTTATAGAAACAAATGCCCAACCTCAATCATAAGAAGAAAATGAGATATCACTTTTTGACCTGTCAGATTGAATAGGCAGTAAAAGTTTTATTACATGTTAATACCATTGAATGTATGAGGAAACAGTACTCACGCATATCTCAGGCAGAAGTGTAAATTGGTACAATCGGAGGAGAGCAATTTATCAGGTTATAAGCATACATTCTCTTTGATAATGTAATTCAATTTCCTTAGAATAAAATCTGTCATATCAATATATTTGCAAGAGTGAAAAATAGTGAATGTACATGATTATTTGTTGCAGCATTGCTTGTATATTAGCAAAAAACTGGAAATAATATGAATAATCTAGTAGGGAAACGGGTTAAATGAATTATGAATGGCCATAAAATGAATAGTATGCCATTAAATAAAAGATGAAGAAACGTGTTATATGCTATTAAAAAGAGATATCAAGTAAGTACTGAGGGTTTTTTTTTTAAAAGCAAAGTACATGCTATTATTTGTGCAGATTTGTTAAAGGGGAGATGGTATATTTGTATTTGTATGTGCATAAAGTATCTCTGAAAGAATACTCCAGAAATTAATGATAAAAGTCACTTAGGGAAGGTGAACTGAGTGGCTGGGCACTAGAAATGGATGGGAGACTTTTAATTATATAATATTTAATGCTTTTTTTTTACTTTGGAGATGTGAGTAAATGAATATAAGTTAGTTAATAATAAAAGCAGTTTTTATGGTTAAAAAACAGAGGAGGGAAGAATGAGAATAAATGAGGTTGTCAGACATCCAAATAAATCCTAACAAACAGTCTACATGTACAAAACTTCAAAACTAGAAAGTAATCACTGACGTTCTGAATGACAGTGTACACAGCCAAACACACTGAATCCAATTTACATCTAAAATATTCTGCTTACTAAGACAAATCCTTGAGCCATTACATTACATAACTGTTTTCAACAGCATGAACAAAAATAAATAAGATGTCTTGGTTAACCTTTAAACCAAATATTCAATAAAACCAAGCTCTCTTTTTTTCATTCACTTACTGAATGCTTCTATTTGTAAGGTTCTGTGGATACAAGGATTAAAAAGCCTCTCAGTGTTTGATGTGGAAGAGCAATATACATGAAAGATTTATATTTAAATTTACATCTTAATGTTTCCTTGTGATAAGTACTACAACAGAGAAACAAAGAAAATGCTGAGGAAATACAGAGGAGATCAGAGGAGGCTCCATCATGGAACAGTATATGGTGCTTTTCCCACCAGAAGCTTCACATAACCCATGACAAGGAACTTCCAATATCATTTTTAGGACATTTTTGGGATCATGGCCCCAAACAAAAATGCACAGAAATGTATTAATTAAAAAAAACAAAAAACAAAAAAAAAGCCTCCTTCCTTAGAAACTAGCATTTGGATGTAACAAAGTGAAGGAAAAAAAAAAAAACCCCACAAAAAACACTACAGAAGAAAGCCAAATAATGAGGTTTTCTTTATTAATGTGTTGTTAGGATTCAGTCAACAAAGAAATGAGACTACAGGTGCCCATCACAGACTAGGTCAAAAGACAAACAGAAAGGGAGAGATGACTTTTCAATGGTCTCGTTGAGATCTCCTCCAAGATCCTCAGCCCAGAACTGCAGGAGGGAAAAAATTGAAAAGCTATGTTCAGAATTCACCAATCCTGAGCAAAACTCAGAAGAAACGAGCAAAGCTGATGCTTGTCATTCCCTCACCATCCATCCTGGAACCTTCCTCTGTCTTGAAGTCTCATGCCCATTCCAGCAACCCTGTTCACTCTGGCCACCCAGGAGGAGGAATGTGAAACTAATTAAGTATTAATCACTGAATTGCCAACTCCTCTCTAGGAGAAAAGTATGAAGAAAAAAACTTGCTAGAACGAAGAAAACTAAGGCTTAGATCCTAGATATGCTACTAACTTGTTACATGACCTTGAGAAGTCCTTCAAACTTTGTTAACCTTATTTCTGCTCTCTGTAAAAATGGAGATAATGTTATTTGCTGTTTCAGAAAGTCATTTTAATAATAAAATGAACACATATCATATGTTGTAGGCAACACTATCAAGTGGCTAACCCAATAGTATTCCCATCCTTCTCTCTTGCCTATCTGCACTACAGAAATATCAATTTCCCCAGACTCCTTTGCAGTTATGTGTAGCCATATGATGCAGTTCCAATCTGAAATCATAAGCAAACGGTTGCTTGAGAACTTAGTAGAATATCTTTGCTTTTTTAGATTAAAAAAAGACAGACATGGCTGACATAGACCTCTTCTTTCCCTTCCTCCAGCCCTAAATAGAGGTGATACTTGGATCTGCAGCAACCACCCTCTGACCATGAAAAACAGACCAAAAGAGTCACAGTAATTCCAGCCCTGATATCTTAAGCCACTGAACCAGCAGCCACCTACCCCATTTGTTAAAGTCACCATCAGGTGGATTTTCTGTTACTTGAGCAGCTGAAAGTATGCCTGCATTTAATTTAATATTCATTAATGTGCTATGTAAAGATTTATAAAAGAAAAATAACATTTATTAACTTAAAACACTTTATGGAGAGAGCAGCCAACAATGCAGAAGAAATGCATCTCAAATATTGAAATTTAAAGTACAATAACCATTGAGTGGTAGAGTTATTTCTGGGGTGGGTGGCTTTTGTTCATGCCTTTTAAATATCAACCAACTGCTCTGAATATCTGGTAGTGTGACTCACAGGAAACACACACACACAACATTTTGGAGCCGGAAAAGCTTGGATTTAATTTCTGGCTTGACCACTTACTAGCTGAGTGGTTTGGGGCAATATATTTAATCTATGTAAACTTCAGTTTCTTCAGCTACAAAAAAAAATAAAAATAATATCAACCTTACATGATTAGTATGCATTAACACCCACTCTGCTGTCCCTAGTAAAAGTGACCAAATGAATAAGTATTAGCATTCCATGGACCTTCAGAGAGGGACAAGTAGATGAATTAAATAATAACTTGCGATATAAAGATGGGAAAATTAGCCATGGAAGAGGAGGAAGGGAAATTGGTAAGGAAAGACAGATCTAGAGCAATGTCAGTATTGGGAAAAGCTCTAGAAACTCCAGCTATACCTATTTTTGAAAGAAGTATTCTCGTCATTTCCTAAAATAATGAGTTTCTGAAATTGTCTTCTCCTGACTTAGGCAAGAGCTTTATCTACAGGTCAAAAATCCTAGAATTATCCACCAGGATGCAGTGATAGTTAAGGTTACGTATAATAAATCCATGTTATGCTGCTCTTAAGACTTAATTAGAATCTTACTCCCCTTTCACATGTTTCTTACCACCAGGCCCGCACCTTCTGTGGTCCCAAAAAAGGCAATGCATGCATGTTGATAGATTATCATGCAATTATGTTCACATTCACATTACTTTGGAATTTATGCAAGTTGCCTCTAAAAATCACTTTTGAACTTCTCTGTTAAGGTAACCATTTTACCCTTTTTGGTTCTCTCAACAGAACTGACATCACAGAAAGCACTGTGGTGTATGGATTATGTGTTTGCACTCTGGAATTGAGTCAAGCAGATCTAGGGTTGATTTCGACATGCCACAATTGATGAGCTCTGTAACTGCAGAAAAGTTACTTAAACTTTTTGAGCTCCAGTTTCATCATTTGTTAAGGATGCCTGGTCATAGGACTACAAGGATAGTGTCAACAAATGTTATTTTCTTTCATAATAGTTCACTTCAGCACTGTGTCAAAATCTGGCCTCCAATAAATGTAACCTTAACTAACTTCAGGTAGAATAAGAAGGGATGAACACAAAGACTGACATCACTGATTGTAGCTACTGGAAATGATGAAAATAAAGGTTAGATGAAATGAGAAATTCAAAGTTCCTCCATGGTCAGTCTTTTACTTATTTTAATGGTTTATAAATTTTGGTATGTATCATTAAATCATTTCTGCAAGTAGATGGGGAACCAATCATAAATAAAATAAGCCTGGTAAGGCCTCAAACCATGAAATAATTAAATATAAGCCAACGTGTTTGATTCTAAAAGTTTAATCTGAAATGATAAAAACTCTACATTTTCATTTGAAGCATTATAGTAATAATATTGCTACATTGCTAAAATGTATTAGCATCACCTTAGTTATTTTAAGCACTTAAAAAGCTGGCTAAAAGCTAGGTCATAGTTATTATCTCATTTGCCCTTAGAAGAGTCCAGTTAAAGCACAGGCAATTGAAAGAATTTGGTCATGGTCACAGTGTGAGTTATTGAAAAACCTGAAGCTAAAGTTCAGGTCTTCCAGCATTCACATCATTTGATGGGGGCATCAGGCTGTACTGAAAAGTTGGAAGCAAATCAATATTTATAAAGCAAAAAAATGCTTACCCACTAATTTACATTATGATTTCTCCAATGTCACATCTTCATCCCTGGTCTTAGATGACCTCCTGCTTTCCAGCAGAAGCAAATATTTAAATAAACTTGGACATTACATTCAATGCCCCATGGTAACAGAAATAGACTACGTCCTAGTTTAGTCTTTTTCCAAGTTAGATATTTTTCATTCTGAAAACTTTTTTAACTTCAGTTGTATAGAACCTCACAGTTCACACGGTATTTGGGATGAAACTTGAAAGCTGTTTTAAAGTATGCTTAACTAACCACATGTTAACAGGACCAGGTACTGTTCTAGCCTGTTGTGTGTATTAACTCATATAAAACATGAAGCAATTCTAGAAGGTGTATACTACAATTATCTCCATCTTGGAGAAGAGAAAACTGAGGCTTAGAGGTTAAGGAACTTGCCAGGGTTACATGATACAGGGCTAGCATATGAACCCAAGCAATCTGGCTTCAGAGCCTGTGTCCATAATAAGCATACTGCGACTTGTCACATACTTAGCCGGTATAAAATCTTTTCAGGAAGGACACAGAGACAATGCCAATGACAACATCAAATGAACCCATATATTCTTGACCAGTTTGGTTATCTAAGGCCCTTGTTTTCAGCAAAGGAGAAACGAACATATACAATGGGGAAAAAACAGGTGCTTAAAGGAAAACAATTATTACATTAAGTAAATCAGGTACAGCAGCAAGTATTGACAGAGAGGAAAGACACATACACACTCACACACGCACACACATACACACACCACTAAAAAGCAGATACAAGGTCTCAAAAAATCCAACAGTCTTAACTCATCTAATGAAAAATCAAACATTCTTGCACACCTCAATTACCAGAGAACATCACTGTATTACAACACAATGCAAAGCCTCATGTTCCAAATAACAGTGTTGACCTCAACAAAGACTCTCTGGGACTTAATTGATCCTCTTTTCAAATGCAGAAGGGCTGTAAAATCATTATTTAAATTATGTCTAAATTTTAGAAATATTCCTATCCAGATTGTTAAAATAAAAAAAACTGATATAGAATAAGTCACTGTAAACTTCAAAGTACTAAAACAAAATGATGGTCAGCCTAGAAGACTATACAGAACTAACTATTTCTCAGGGGGAAAGGGTGAAAGACATTTTGAGACATACACAGATTGAGAACAGAAGTGACTGCTAAGGAGTGCTCTGCATGCAGCAAGAAGTAAACATAAACCAGAAAGAAGGAGCTAAAGAAAGAAACAAGTAACCATGCTAGTAAGTCTAAACACAAATTGACTATATATAATTATAGTTATCAACATAACCATATGATTAATTTGGAGAAAGTCAAAAAAGCAAGGTATGAATAAAATGCGGGACATCAATAGTATGATGGAAGGAGGAAGGGAGATCAGAATGAAGGCCTCCAAAGATTGTTACACTGTACAGAAAAACAGAAATTCTGATCAACCTTAAACACTGTTAAATATACATATTTGCTAAAAATTTAAGAGTAACCACTAGAAGATGGGATATAAATTGCATAACATCTAAAATGCCAGAGAAAGAAATGAATGTTTAAATATTTCACATCACCCAAAATAAGGAAAGAAAGGAGAAAGATAGAAGCAGTGAAAACATTACGAACCCAAAATAATGTCAGAAATAAGTACAAAAATAACAGTTGCCATAAAAATGTAAATGAACCAAACTATACATCCAAAACATTATGTTGAGTACAAAAAAGCAAGTTGTAAAATAATAGGTACAGCATAGCATCTATGAAATTGAAAGAATGCAAATACTATATTGTTTAGAAATACGATTCTATTTAGTGAACACATAAGAGCATGGAACGGAAGGATATGCATGAGTTTCTGAATGGCAGCTGCCTCTACAGACAGAAGGCGGGTAAAGAGACTAGGAAGAAAATGAAGCCTATTTCAACTGTAATATTCTTTTTCTCCTATGATAAATAATATCTGAGTGGGAGCAGAGGGGGAGAGCAAAGCCCTCTACTGCCAACTGGCAAAAAGCTAGAAAGCCTCTGAGAATGAACATCTCTGAAATGTCAGAGAGTCTAGTCTCTGAGTCTCCCTCAGAGCTACAGGATGTAGATAGAGCCTTTCTTCTGTTCTTTCTTATGTACAACAAAGAGGCTCTATTGGAGCTGAAACCAATGAAGAAGCTACAAAAGAACAAAGTGACCAGAATGATTCTTCGGGCTGAACTGCTCAGAGCCTTAGCAACTGGGAACACATGCCAGAAGCATGTGATACATGAGCCCAAAGTCTAAGAACAAAAACCACAGGGAATATTTTTTTTTAGCAGTTTTTAAATTTTTTTCTAACTGAAGCTCTCAAACTTAGTTAGAATACAGTATTATGAAACACATTAAACCCAGTTTGATAACAGTCAAGGTTAAGCAAAAATGCACTAAGCTGTAGCTCAGTGTTTAATTCCAAAAACTTCCTTTTTAAAACATTCTAGTTTACCATGTAATGGCTGCCATATGTTGTTACATTAATAGTTACTTCCCTGATTTTAAAATACCATGACAAAATAGACATTAAGTGGCAAGTTTGTCACAAGCAGCCATGCCAGTGATTAAGCACAAATCATGGGACTAGCTCTGAATACCCACATGGTAAGACCTGTTGGTCACAGCTGGTTTTGATGATTTTTAATAAAGATTATCCATTTGTATTACTTGGATTCAGAACCAGACAAATATTCTTTTTCAATGCTGTATCTTGATTAAAGAAAAAATAATCAAGTGGCCACAATGAAGTTAGGTTTTCTTTACAACACAAGTTAGGCTCCATTTTTTTCTACCCTAAATGCTGTAGGGAATGACACATAACCAGGAAGTATTTCAAGATTGCTAACTGGCCTAACACAAAAGTACAGCATCCTAAAGGTAGGATGAAGAAAGTAAGGACAGTAGAAAGCAAAAATCTACATACGTCTTAAGGAGCGTTCTCCATCAAAAAGAAGAATCACCAACCTTGTTGATAAATGCGGGATAGTAAATAGAGACTGAAATCTCTCAGAATTCTGAGAGGCAGACAGAATGTATTCGCTGACATGTTAGTCAACTACTCCCTTAACTTACAGCATCCCTTGCCCCTCCTTATATTCCTCCATAGGTGCTTATATTACAAATACATAGAGTAAGAATGAGAGAAATAAATCTTGGCTCAACCTTTCAGATGGTGGGAATTTTTAAATTCTGTATTTTTGTATCACATTAAATTCAAACCTAAGGATACTACTAAAAAGGTGGTATTTGAGGCTGCATGATTTTTAAATTGGCAAATAAGATAAAAAATCTGAAGGAAATTTTTAAAAAGAAAGCCATTTTACTATATATTTCTACATAACAAATTTTGGGGAAGTGATAGAAAGACTGGTTATATCCATTATAAATAAGAACTCAATCAAATTTAATTGAACAATTGTTTTTTCTGCTTATATCATATACCAGCCCCTGGTGGAGATACAGTAATCAATAAAATGGTCCATGATGTCTAAGAACTCAAAATACAAGGGGAGAAAAATCTGTGTAAATCCACAATCACTATTCCATTTGAAAAGATTCCACTGCTCTCAAGCAGTGTGATTTTGAGCAAGTCATTTAACCACTCTATACTTCACTTTTTTTTTTTTTTTTTTTTTAGACAGAGTCTCGCTCTGTCACCCCAGGCTGCAGTGCAGTGGCACGACCTCGGCTCACCGCAAGCTCTGTCTCCTCGGTTCACGCCATTCTTCTGCCTCAGCCTCCCGAGTAGCTGGGACTACAAGTGCCTGCCACCATGCCCGGCTAATTTTTTGTATTTTTTTTTAATAGAGACAGGGTTTCACCATGTTAGCCAGGCTGGTCTCGATTTCCTGACCTCACGATCCGCCCGCCTCGGCCTCCCAAAGTGTTGGGATTACAGGTGTGAACCACTGCGCCCGGCCTTAATACCTACTTTAAGAAACAGTTGTATAATTACAAGATAATCCAGGTATGGCTCTTAGCAAAAAAAAAACCTGAACAATTACCCACTGTTGTGCATCATCATCATTATTTATCATACATTACATTAGTATTACTATTATGACGGGATACTAATACAGAAGAAGGACAACTACGTCAGCCTTTGGGGTCATGAAAAGCTTGCCAGAAGAGGGAGACCTGTGCTGAGCCCAAAGGCACCTGGGTGAAAGTGGTATATTCTAGGTAAAAGGCACAGAAAGCAGAAAGAATGGCATAGTTTTGGCTCTAGCTCTCCAAACAAATCAACATGATTCCAATAATGTGTGTGTGTGTGTGTGTGTGTGTGTGTGTGTGTGTGCGCGCATGTGTGTATGCTGTCAATAAACAATGAGGCTGAAGGAATGGGAGAGGTAAGATCACAAAGAACATTATACGCCACAAGAAAGATTCTGGCTTTTCTTTCACAGGGCACAACACTATAGGCATTGATGATGCCTACGGTTGATGTCAGTTATGTAAATTAAGTATTTGTAAATTTCAAACATGCAACAGTACAACAAAAATTTAAGGTTTGGTGGCTGGGGACTAACTTCTGTGATGTTATGAAGGAAGAGAGAAAGGGAGAGAAAGAGAACAAAAGGGAGGGAAGGAAGAAAGCAAGAGAAAAAAGAGGAAGATGGAAGGAAATGAAGGAAGGAAGTAAATACAGGCAGCAAAGAGAGAAATTGGTGGCCTGACAGTTTATTAACACTTCAGACTCACTAATTTTAACAGAAACAAAATAGGGCAACACATCTGCATACCTTTAATGTTAATAAGATAGAGCATTTCAACTCACCACATTCATCCCACATTTATTAAAATAAACTTTCTTAGACAGGGACAGATCTGTACATGTAGAAAAAAACATAATTAAGACCAGTTCCTTAATGATTATTTTTGAAACTGAATAACTTTTTTACTTAAGGACTCATAATTTATTTGCATAGAGAAGTGGCAGAAAGTGATGGCAAATGTGTGTCACGTAGGCTCCCACTCCCTTCCCTCTCCAGTCATGGCAGACTGGATGAATCAATCCGGTCCCTTCCAGTGCAGCCCTTCTGTGGCCTAAAGAATCACTCTCAGACTGTGTATGCTCCAGCCAGTCACAACCAATTAATAGGGGCTGGCATCTGAGAAAAAACCTACTGGTCGTATGCAATTAGAAGAATGTACCTCATATTCTTATAAAGATTACCAGAGATCTTTCCCTGGAGCACCATGCCACTTAATTTGGTCGAATATCTGTCTACTCTAGAGAAGTATGTCAAAGAAAATGCTCTCAGTCTTGAATTAGAAGGTTAAGATGGGAATCCCAGAGTGAAGCACACTTACGGCACAGACTAAGATAACATCGAGATTTTATTACAGTCATCAGCATTCTTTCCCATCCTCTACTTCACTTTCATGGGTAATTGAGTATTGGCTTCTATTCTACCACTGTAGCTCTTTCTGAACAACCCCTAGAGACAAAAAGAATAAATAATACATATTTCATGGAACAACTAATTATGGATAAAGATTGTTCTACAAGTCTCCTTAAATCAACTGTGGTGAATTGAAGGTAACATAATGTAAAATTCGGAGGAAACTATGTTCCTCATCTATATTAAAGTAAACCAAGTGTTTGAATATCATAAGTTTTTAAGAGGTATTTATTTGTTTTATGATTACAACTGACAGAAAAAAGTGGTACAACTTTTCTCATACATTCCAGATAAAATCACACCTAACAGTAAAGGCCCTACTGCAAAAAGAAAACAAAAGAACCTTTGAAGTCACAGATTTGAATTTGATTCTCAACTTCGCTACTCACTGGCTGAATAAGAACTACAATGTAGATGAAATGAGACAATGTGTATAATGTACCTAGCATAGTGCTTGTTCTCAGTAGGCACATGATACACATTAGTTACTGTGATACATATTAGTTATTTTAGCTTTCTAAAAAATAGCCATAAAGCATGAGGCAAACACATCCTGACTTCTCTTATACTGCATCACAATTTTCCTCATTAGTCATGTTGGTGGCCTTTGTTCCTGTGCCACATGCATTTAAAAGCATTAAGTGGGCCAGGCATGGTGGCTCATGCCTGTAATCCCAGCACTTTGGGAGGCTGAGGTGGGCAGATCACTTGAGGTCAGGAGTTCAAGACCAGCCTGGCCAACATGGCAAAACCCTGTCCCTACTAAAAATACAAAAATTAGCCAGCATGGCTGCGCCCGCCTGTAATCCCAGCTACTTGGGAAGCGGAGGCAGGAGAATTGCTTAAATCCAGAAGGCGGAGGTTGCAGTGGGCCGAGATCATACCACTGCACTCCAGCCTGGGTGACAAAGCAAGACTGCCTCAAAAAAAAAAAAAAAAAAAAAAAAGCATTTAGTGGGGCTTAGTATGTCTTCTAGCATCTTCCCTTTGCCTCACCTTCCCCTCTAAGACCATATTCACACCCAGGCAATCAATCTTTTAGCATATTCCTTGAGGAATATCACTTTCCTCTTGTTACCTTTACAGCCACATCTAATATTTGAGAGAATCACCAAATACTACATGAATGAGAGAGCAATAAGAAAGTACAGGGTCTACACACACAGACTACACTGTTGGGAGGAAGGTAAAATTTGGAAACAGGGGACTTAAACTAAGAAAAACTTATGCAAACCCTTCAGGTAACTGCACAAAACCCAGCTAAACAGTTCTTCTACTAAAGGTCACAGAATGGTTAAGTTATCATAGCTTAGTACCTGGGCAAACTAGAAAACACCTTTTTTAGCTCCTCATTTGCACCCCCCTCCCTTGAGGCTTTAGATTGATTGATTTTTAATTGACACATATTAACTAAGATACTAATTTGTTCTATTAACTTCATCTGCTATACTCAGGACGGTTCACACATTGATAAAAAGTTCACTGAAACAATTTTGTAAACTAGGCGTGATATTAAACACCAACAACCCAGACAGAAATTCTGAACATGAGCAGACAGGCCCAATCACTCGGATTTAACTGAAGCAAGCTGCTAATCCTTGGAGTGGCCAGTTTCCAGGGTTGGGCATATGACTGGAGTTGTGAGAGCAGACGCCATCCATCCATTTGTTTTTTGGTAGAAAGTTTATTTTGTGGCACAAATGGGAAAATGGAATAAAAGTCTCTCCTAAGACAAGAGGACTACTGACTCCTAAAAGGAAAAGTAGTATTGTCTTGGGTGGCTTTTCTCCATTAGCATTCTTTCTCTGTCTCCAACACCCACAGAAAGAGACCATCTATGTCTAGTGCTTCAAAGCAGAGTTACTTGCATCTCCTAATGTAATCACATGGCACACAAAACATAAATGCCAATATATGAGTAAACACGAGACTAGAGAGTAACTATTTTCCCAAGAGAAGAAATAACCTCACAAAGATATATACACATCGAACAATTAGGACTCAAGTTCAGGCTGGGGAATATCCACTACAGACAAAAATTTACTTTATTTAGTAAACCTCTCCAATGGCTGTATATCACAGAAAGGAAAGAGGTGACACTGACGGGAGTTAGAGACGATGGATGCCAGGGATGGTCACTTTTAAGACTAACTGATAAAGCTGGAAATCCCATTTTAACAGCTCTTGAAGGCAAGGATTGCACTGCAGAATAGTAACGGTAAACAAAAAGAAAATATATGCCAGGTCTTCTATGTTGCTATCCTCTGTGCAACCATTTTCAAAGCCTATTTCTGATCCATGATTAAAATATAGGAAACATATACAGGAGAGAACATTAACCTCATGGTTAATCCATTAACAGGATAACAATCTGTCATTTTCATGCAAGTACAATTGTCCAGATCCATGAATACTATCATATTATTCCAGGTTAAAAAAGAATCTGAACCATCAACAGACAGGTATCCAACTCCCATCCCTGCATCACCCAGCACTATCATGAGGACTGGCTCCTGTCCTGCCCCTCTCCTAGTTCAGTCCCACAGCAACACTGGATGGCAGCATACACTGGCATAGCTTATGTTGCTTACAAGCAAAAAGATCTGTAACTGTCCTTGAGAAGGTAAAGCATAGCCACAGAAAACCACTTGAGGAGGCTTAAAAACCAGTAACAAACGCAAATGTTGCTCAGGAAAGGAAGAGAATAAAACGTCTGAAATAATGAGAAGGCTTCACAGAGGAGGTGATGTTAGAGATGAGCTGAAAAATCCAAGGGTATTTTGTAAAATCAAGAATTAGAAGAGGACGATCACAGTAGGACATGCTGTGATCCTCTTGGAGGGACACAAGCGGGCCCAGAGAAGAGTCTCTGTGTCTTATTATACCAGTGAGATAGCTAAAGCTAATCTGTCACTTATTAGAGCCCTTAGATTCTCATGGCTCTCCTAAAATTACCACTGCATTGTAAGCATAGCACCACTGCATCTAGACACATTTGTTTTTGTATTTCTTTCAACCAAGTCTTACAACCAGACTACAAAATCTGTCTCTTTCAATACAGCTAAAAAAAATAGAAACAAATGCCCTGCAATGATTTCAACCAATGATCTCTGACTGTACTGCCAGCCATTTCATTATCTACTTTAATAATTTAAAGTCAGACAACACAACTAGTGTTAAAAGCTAAATTTCTTTAGTGATACAGAACATTATGGCAGAAAAAGAGCAGAAAAACTTTATGCTAAGAAAAAGCACATTAATTAGACTATTATTAGCTTATTAGATTGCCATACCACCTCCTCTAAGATAGGTTATTTTATCCACATTCTTAATTAGCTTTTCGTGAACCAAGGAGAAGGAACAAGGAGGGCTGCCCCCACACCACAGATGAAAACACAGTGACTATTTAAATGGCCATGACGCACAAGATGTGAGAACCCTGGATTTATCCACTTCAGGTCTGTTCACGAGGCTGCTCAGCCCTGAGAATGTCCAGCAGAATCAAACATGATGCCTGCCCCCAGGGAGCTGCCCTCTCAACTGAGAGACAGAGTCTGATAAGTGCTACTGTAATAACGGCCTGCATTAGTGAACCCCAAAGGCCACATGTCCTACCAGGCATTTCACTACTCTCTCCCACCCTAACTGCCCCCCAAACCGGTCATGCAATCCTAACAAAAACCTCATCATGCCTCATCCTCAGTTACATATGAGAAACAAAGGATCACAGAGGTCATGATTAATGATGAATACAATAATGAAAATACTAATGTTACCGTTTGTGTGATTATTATGTGTCTAGCACTGGACTAAGTATAGTAGAATTCTCACAGTAGCTCATGAGATGGGCCTTATTACCCCATTTTCCAGATGACAAACTGAAGCTCACACCTATTAAAAGGTTGTGGGAAATCACTGATAAGAAGTTAGGAAAACCTGGAATTGAATCACGATCCCTTTCTCTTTGATGCTCTGTAGCTCTGTATTGAACTGCAGGAATCTACATTACAGACTGTCACCATGAAATGAGAGAGAGCCAGGGCATTATTTTAGAATTGTTGTGACAGCACCATGTTTGTGTTTGGGGCAGACATTCCTGCAACAGCAGAGATGGACCACCAGAAAGAAGCAGGGGGAGGGAGGCAGGAGACTACATTAATCCACGTTAGAAGAAAACGGCAACAATTGACACAGAAATTCCCAAAAGGAGTTTTCCATGTTCCTTGGGATGAGTCCAGGCTGCATGTTGTTTATTGACACTTTTACTGTATTGTGTATTAGAAAACACAGGTAATTTGTACTACAACCCATAATCTCATGGAAACTGTTGCTTAAGATGGGACTAAAATAAGTGAGTTAAAAAAAATACTAAGTCTAAACTAAAAATAAAATGATATAAATTAAAAAATAAATTATGTAAATGACATGTATAACACATTAATTTTCTATACTTATATATTTTTACACTTTACATATAATATAGATGGTATATATTATGTTATTCATTATACTGTCACAATATAATTATGCTATATATTTATAAAATATTAATATGCTATATAATATATAAGCTATATAATATATTCTATAAATATATAATATGTTATATAATATATTCTATAAATATATATGTTATATAATATATTCTATAAATATATAATATGTTATATAATATATTCTATAAATATATAATATGTTATATAATATATTCTATAAATATATAATATGTTATATAATATATTCTATAAATATATATGTTATATAATATATTCTACAAATATATAATATGTTATATAATATATTCTAAAATATATAATATGTTATATAATATATTCTATAATATATAATATGTTATATAATATATTCTATAATATATAATATGTTATATAATATATTCTATAAATATATAATATGTTATATAATATATTCTATAAATATATAATATGTTATATAATATATTCTATAAATATATAATATGTTATATAATATTTATCAAATATTCAGTAAGTATATTCATAAATGAGATTGTAGGAGGACCCGGGAAGAGTCAATAAGTTTGGAAATCAGAATGAAGGCACAAGAATGTCAGCAGAGAGCAAAGGTAATGCCAAGGACACTAAGGAGGGAGTGGCCATAGTTTCCTGAGGACTCTTGCAAGTGTGTGGGGAGATGGGCAGAAGAAAACGGATGGCGAGGGTCTTCCCTGGGGCCCCAGGTGGACAGTGGTGCCCTTCTCTAAGACAGCAAATGTCAGCTACCACTAGGAGGTCTAAGAGGAATGACAAGCACTAGGAGGTCTAAGAGGAATGACAAGGCTGGGAGGTGCTGAGCTGCGGCCCTGAGGGGCTTCTAAGGGGAGTTGCCAGTAGGCAGCTCAGAATGGAGAAGATTATTTGCATGAAATATAACTTTAATCACTAGAAACAGCAATAAGCAAATTAATAAATTATACATGCTGCCAGAACTTCAGACCAAAAGAAAATAACAAACACTCTTTACTGCTTCCCACCTTAATTTGTGGCTTTCTTAGGGCAAAATACAGAGTTAGAGAACAGTCAGCTATAAAATACTTTCTTCACAACATAAAACAAATGAGTCTCACTTCATGATTGAGGCAAGCCACACCGACAGTGTCACAGAACATTATAAGCCACAATGAGATGCCTAGCTCAATGAGATGCTGACACTAAGTTATGCAGCACCATGGGTCAAACATACTGCCCATACTGCCCCTCCCAAAAATGACTCCCAACCCCGAGGCACCAGAAGTTTCAACTACAGCCATTTCACTTGCATGTGATGATGTAAACCTAATTCAACACACAATTCCACATCAATCCCAGGGGTACAAACTCCTACACAGAAGCCCGAGATAGGGGCCATAGCAGAAAGCCTTGCACCTACAAAAATCTGCACTTCCCAATCGGCATCTACCTGAATCTCTGCCCACCACACACTTTCCTTAGTAAAAATCAGAGCGAATAAAACAGCTTTTGATGCAAAGATAGAACAAACACTTTCAGCCATGTTTCTTCTTGCCTTTGCTGACCATCCACTTCTCTAACTCAGGGGCTGGCAAACTTTTTCTGTAAAGGACCAGAAAGCAAATATTTTTCATTTTGCCAGCCACATGGCCTCTGTTGCAACTACTCAACTCTGCCATCGTAGCACAAAAGCGGCAATATACAATACCTGAACAAGTGGGCGTGGCTGTGTTCCAATAAAAGTTTTTTTTATATATAAACACATACGCCAGATTTGTTCAGGGGGCGGACTTGGCCCATGGGCTGCAGTTTGCCAGTCCCTGTTCTAACTAAGCAAATATTTGCCTTCTCTGCCCAATGTCCCTCTTACGAGAACTTTCAGCTACCTTGACACATGGGTGCATTATTGCCTTTCCCCCTTCCCACCTTGAGATACTCCTAGATTCTAGGCTCTGCTTCCTTGTGAAGGCTACAGTATTTACTTAATAATAATGACAGAAGAGTAGTAACAATGACAGAATAATAATAATAGAAGTTAAGACTTATTGAGCATTTATGATGTGCCAGGTATCACGCTAGATTCTTCATAAACACTGTCTTACTGAATCCCAAAAACAATCTAATGAGATAGGTACAATGATCATTTCCATTTTACAGATGAAAAAATGAGCCTGGGAGGGGTAATACTGTCTTCTTACGGTCACACAGAGTAAAACTGAGTTCTAACTCAAATCTGTCTGGATCCAGAGCCAAAGTTCTTCACTGACATCTGGGCTGCTTTCCAGAGGCACAAATGTCTGTCTAGATAGAAGGCGTCCCTCGGGCTTCTTCCCTTACACTGTCCTCTTGGGGTCTACACTCTGTGCTGCCACCCACACCCTGCTGGACAGTGACAGGCCCAGCCAGGTGGCATCTATCACCTTCATTCAAGCAGCAGCTCTTCTGCTTTTCACAAGCTTTTATCATTCAACATAAACACGAGTACAAGCAACAGACACCATCCAACATGACTGGAAAATGTTACGCTTATGCTTATTTTTCCACCCTCCAATCATAATGATGCACATAGGGGGATTAGAGAGCATCAGGGATCCTCAATATGTCCCTTAGGATCAGAGGCAGAGTGGGAATCCTGACGTGGCTGGTATTCTCAAAACACAGCAGATGTTCCCAGGAATATTCCTAAATGAAAACAAGTCTGGGGAGGCCAAAAAAGGGAGAGGTTATGTACACACAGCCAGTGGTGGACTCAGTGAGCACTGGGTAGGAAGAGCTGCTCCTCAAAAGGATCCATTAGGCAAATTTAAAATAAAGTCAATGAGATAATTTATTTTTATTTTATTTTTTTAAGAGACGGGCTCACTCTGCTGCCCAGGCTAGAGGGCGGTAGTACAATCATAATTCACTGCAGTCTTCACTCCTGGGCTCAAGCCATCTTCCCAAGTAGCTAGGACTACAGGCATGCACCACCACGCCCAGCTAAGTGTTTCATTTATTTACTTTTGCACAGATGGGGTCTTGCTATGTTGCCCAGGCTGGTCTCCAATTCCCGGCTTCCTTCAAGCAATCCTCTCTCCTCAGCCTCCCAAAGCATTGAGATTACAGGTATAAGTCACCATGGCTGGCCAATGAGATGATTTTAAAACCTGTTCACTTTATCTCCTCGGTAAGGAAAAGTACACTTGTAACACTTCATTGTAATTTCCCCCATTGTGTTTAAGAAAAAGATTAAAAATCATCAATAGCTTGGACCCCACTGAATGTACAGGTCATCATTCACACAAAAGAGGAGAGAGGAAATGTGAGCAAATTAATGAAAATTTACATTCAGCCTGCAAATGCAGCTACAGCATATGTCACAAGGGCATCTGAGCCTATCGTTTCTCACCATCAGCCTCCCTATCCTATTGCTTTTCATTTGCTGAATTGTGTTCCCATATGGCAGCATGTCATAATTAGAGTTTTGAAGGTGAGGCTTCTGCTCACCCTCCATCACACTGATCACCTTGCTGCAGCCACCTGTGTTCTTGCACACTAGTGCAGAGGAGACCTCTTGCTGCTGGGTAAATGCTGCAGAGCAGATGCAGGCCCACTGAGTGTTCCGTGTGGTCTCTGTGCAGGAAGGATGTTCTGACATGGGCTTGAGGGACTAAGTCCTAAACACATGTCCCCTTTCCTTCTGTGGCTACTTGTATAAGACACATTTGATGGATACATTATTCCTAAATAGCTGCCACTGAAGCAATCTGTACACACAGCATCAGACTGAGACAGTGAACATGACAGTGAGTGGGCTGGATCTTCATTCCCCAGTGTAAGAAACATCCAAAGGACACATTGGGAGATGAGACGCAGAACGTGGTCAAAACTTAACAACTGAAAAATAGGTATAGTTGTCAAAAAGGTTAAAAGAGATTGTGTGAAATAGATATGCTAAAGGAAAAAAATACATATATATATATATATATATATATACACTGTGAGTCTTTTTTTAAATGATTTAAAAACTCCACAAGAGCCAGTGAATACAAAATCAAAAATAGTTTTAAAAAATAGTTTTCATCCCTGAATTGTGTTGTTGCTTTCTTTTTGCAAAATAATAATAATAAGCATATTGGAGATTTCTCTTTGTATCACCCATGCTTAAATTGTAGAAGCCTGCTCAAACTCGTTTCCATCAAATATCCTCTTTGATGCTGACAAATAAGAACAACTAGTAAATTCTTGACTAAAATCCTACTGATGAAGTAAAATTCTAACTCAAAATATTTTTCAACAACAGTATTAAAATTTGCAACATTACCAAGAGGTTCAAGCAGTAAGCTAAAGGTTTTAAACCAATGACATGTATAACTAAATAAATATATCTTCAGGTATTCTCACCTCAAGAGACAAACTGACATGACTTTTTCCAAGTGACAGATGATTTACCTTTATGAAAATTGACTTACAGCAAGTTTCTAAAAGCTAAGACCTTTAAGTCTTAAAACTTCATAGCTAATTCCACATAAATAAAACAAAGTTTTCAGTCAATACCTTTGCTTGGGTACCTACCTAAAAGTATTAGATGTATCTTTGAAAAAGCATCAGATTACTATTATACATCCCACAGCCATCACTTTTATGTCACATTATATGCATACAACTTCAATACTCAGCCTCATTATTATGTTTTAATTTCTTAAACACTCTACTATCAATTTCTTAAATACTCTACTATCCAAAGCTAGGGCATAGTTTCCCTTAGCCACACAGTAAAAAATTAAACAGTTCATGAAATAGCACCCATGCAATTTTTAACCTTGTGACTGGAGACACTATTCTAAGAAAAGTACTGTCCAAGGTGAAAAGCATGATAAGCATACTATAGTATTTTATGCTTTCTCCTGAAAAATCAGTATGTCTTTGTCAAAACTAATATGCAAATATTGCACAGAATTTCCCCTGGAAAACGAAAGCCTCCTGACAGAAGACGACTAACTCAGTAACTAGACAATAAAGTCACAGTGGTCAAACTACCTGGAAACAATCCCATCTTAAAACCAGATAATCACTACGGATAGCTACATAATCAGGCAAAAATGCCCAGAATATTAAAGAAAGCAAAGGACACATTATTGATGTAGAATATCAGTTGTTAGAATGGTCTACATAATTAATTCCAAGTTTACAATGTATAATCCCAATGTGTCCTATAAATTCGAAAAGCAAAGTCCAAAACTCACTCAACAATAACACCTTATTCTAAACAAAGGACGGACAGAATGTAGATTCAATTAATGATTATTTGAAATAAAACAGAAAAGATACAAGCTCCCTGATAAAAAAGCAAAACAATCACTGTACCCAGAATATTTCGAGATGTTACTTGTCATATTTACACACAGAAATTCTTCCCAGTTCTTTCAGACCACTGTACTCCAAGCACTGTGGTTGAGTGTAGCAAAGAAAACAAAACTCTCACCAGAAATAAACCCAGTCCAGAAAAAGAAAAAAGCACCTTTTATTTAAATATCCTGTAGACCTACAAAGAATACAGACAGAAATACTGCCAACTACAGTCATTTACATGTATGCCTTAGGCTGTTTACTACCTCTTATCCTTTCAGCAGGAGTTTAATACCAGAATTTTCCATCATCCAAATTATTCCCCTTGCTTACTTTTAGGAGTGCTTCACTTAACTCTTTTAAGTCACCAGGGTCCTAATTAGTGGTGAGGAGAGGCAGTCAGCTGTGATGCCTGAAGGAGTTAATGTAACATAGAAAGGGCCTTGATTCCAGGATGAAGCCACATCCATGTTAAGTTTATGTGGAAAATGGCCATTTTGGTGCAAACTGTCAGCCTAACATCATAGTACCTGAACAATCACTACAGATCCAAAACCTAACAGACAAAATTATTACTTCTCTCCTAAGATAGTCAAACCTGCTCACAGGAAGATTCAGAACTAAATCTGTTTAAAAAAACAAATGGCTGTCCTTAATAGACAGCAAATGCTTTCACTTAAAAATATGCATGTGCTTGCACACACACCCTAGATTAAGTGTTAATAAACTAATAAAGACTGCTTGAATGGCCACTTTTTTTTTCCTGTTCTCTCTCATAAGTTTCATAAGGAAAAAAAAAAATCACAGTTTTCTAAAGCCCAGAGAAGCTGAGCTCCAATTCCTCCCCTTCCACCCCAACAAACTCCAAAATAGTGAACAATAACCAAGAGCTGACATGTAAATAGCCCTTACCACATGCCAGGCAGTGTTCCAAGTAATTTTATATATATATATATATAAAATCTTCATAACAACACCATGAGAGAGGTACTCTATATTCCCCATTTTACAGACAAGAAAATTGAAGTTCAGAGAGATTAAGTAACCTGTCCAAGGTCACACAGCTGATTAGTGGCAGAGCTGGGAATGAATGCACAAAGCCACAAGACTATGTTGTAAAAACAGTCAACACAAAGGAGAGTCCTATTGCTCTGCTCAGCAGGAAAGTTTAGAGAAAATTGTCAGAAATCACACTTTTAAAGCTTCCTATAATGAAAACAATTGGGAGTATTTGGAGACAGTTATCTTCCAATATTGCTTTCCCATTGTTTCTATATAATTGTTTTTAACTATTCAAAAGGGATACCCTTTTAGAAGCCTTTTTAGCCAATACTTCAAAACCAAGATCATGTAGAATTAGGAAGGTAGAGGAGTCCACAGGGAAGCAAATTGCCAGATTTACACAGCACAGTACTCAATGAACCTGGCACACTGGACCTAGATACTGCAGAATTCGCCACATAGTTCAATAAACCACATTTAATAAAGTGGTTTGAAAGCATTTAAAAAATAAAAGGACTGATAAAAACTTTTGGAAGAATAATTTTACAAGCTATCAGTTGTCTTAAATAATACCCTTTAATTCAGTAATTTCTCTCTTGGCAGTTTATCCTTAGGAAATCACAAGAGATGCTCACAAAAGTTAATGTGCAAGGGTATTTGTTATAAAAAATGTTTAAAATATGTTATTTCTAATTTTTAAGTGTCCAAAATAGGGAAAATAATAAAATTGATTATATCTACATAATGAAAGAAAACTTGCATCTACAATATTAAGAATGTTTAAACATGAGGAAAAACAATAAAAAGTTACATGAAGAGAATATAAAATTTCCTTATACAATAACGTATCAAATAGCATGTCCATATACTTTATATAAATACATGGTAACATAAATAATAGTCATCACTGGGTGGTAAGATTAGACTAATTTATACTACTTTTCATATTTTCCTATGTTTCACAAATTTTCTAACATGAATAGTTATTAATTTTATAATCTGAAGGGAAAAAATAAAATTTTTAAGAGTAAAGGGATTAGGTCATAAAGCTTATATTATATACTAAAATTACAAGCAAATCAGTCTTATTTCCTTCTTGGATATCACTAATAGACTGAAAGATCCTGACACTGCAGTAAACACAGAAAATGTGGATTTTAATAAGGTTTTAATAAGTCCTCATAAAATTCTTGTACACAAACTAGAGAAATGTGAGGTGGCTAATAGAGTTCATAGAGTTCAAACATCATGGATGAGCAGATGGCTCAACAACAAAAAGGGCCTACTTCTAAACTCTGACCTTGGCTTGTCCAAAGATTCACTTTTCAAACTCACAGCTAGCACAAAACTAGGAAAGAAGAGTCAAATGTGTCAACGACAGGTATCCAAACCAAGTAAGAACCACCAATATCGACCACGTTTCTGGAACAGAATCTAGCACCAATTTAAACGCTGGAGTCTTGCCAATTCCATAGATCATCCACACACAGGATTTTCCAAACCTAAACAAGTTTTGTCAAATAAACATTAGCATTATGATTCAAACAATTCTGACAGGCTGATATGCTGGTCTGAAATCAAGATGCTATTTAAAAGGGTTAGTAAACGTAAAGCTGAGCATTTAGTTCAATAACAATTTTACGTGTCACTGGGCAAATTTCTGTGAAGCAATGACCATTTTAGACTAATAAGAGTCGGCATAATATAGCATTTTTGATGAAGAGAGGTAACAGCCCCACTGGAAGATCCTATCTGAAAGTGCTGGGTATGTTTCTGACTTTCTCATTTGAAGAGGAAATTCAACATAACTGAGTAAGTCCAGAAGGATGTGATCAGGGACATTCAATGTCTGAGAAGGAATATTCAAAGAAATTGGACTATTTAACTAGGAGGGCATTTAAATGGATCTAATGTTAAAATGTTTGTTCTGTGATCCTGTGAAAAGGGAAATGAACTTATTCTTTTATGCTAAAACTTACAGTCTGTTTCTGTCTCAACCACTCCACAGAAACGGCTCATCAAGGTCAGCAATGACCTTCAATTTTCCAAATGCAAAAAGCACTTCCCTACCCCATGTTAAGAGACCTTGGTAGCATTCAATATAGAGTGCTATGCCCTCCTTAAAACACTCCTATCTCTTAGACTCCTTCACCTCAGGGACAATTCATTCTTGTCTCTTTTTTCTACTTCTTACTTTACTCAACCTCTAGATGTCAGAGAATGATCAACTCTCAACCTTCTCATTTTTCTATTCTCTCTCAGTGATTTCATCAATTCCTGTGGGTTTAAATAGTCTCTGTGCTGATAACTCCCAAATTTAAATATCCGGTACAGACTTCCTCTGTACTCCAGACTCTCATATACAATCAGCATAATTTCAAATATATTATGCTAAAAGAAATTCCTGATTCTACACCCTGCTCCTCAATTTGAGTCTTCCCTTCTCAGTACAACACACTCAGTTGCTCCAACCAGAACCCCATCAATCATCTTTGTATTGGCCCTTGCCCTTACCTGCCACATTCTATCCACTGGTAAGTCTGTTCTACCTCCAATCAGCCCACTTCTCCTCATCTCTATGGCTGCTACAAGCAAGAATGCTATTAAGCCAGGTGAGCATCATCTCTATGAATCAGCTTGCCAACAACTACCTAATAGTATCCAGACCAATTCTCACAGCATCAAAACAAGGCCTGCTTAAACATTCAGCTGGATCATGAGCCTTGCCTGCTTTAAACTCTTTACTGACTTTCCCACTGCATGTGGGAGGGGTGGGGGGCGGAATCCATAAATCCTTACAATGGTCTCAAGTCCTTGAAAATCAGGCCCCTTTATCCCCTCCCATTCTGTTTGGTACCATTCTGCTCCTGCTTGGCCTATGCTATGCTATGCTGGTTTGCTCTCATTTGCTTAAGCACAGTAAATTCCTGGTCATAAGGCCTTCACACAGGTAGTTCCCAGACTCTGGCAATACTGGATACTTCTTTCCCTTTATGTCTCAGTTTAAATGTCACTTTCTCAGAAAGTCCTCCCTTGATGGTCCTGTCTGATGTATGCAACTGTTGCCTCCCAACTTTCTATCTCAGCCCTTTGTCTCTCCTCTAGGGAATTTATCACAACTTCCAAAAATTTTGTTTATTATTAATTTTTTGTCTCTCTTTAACCCCTCCTCCTTGGAATATCAGCTCCAAGAGGAAAGGGCCCCTCCTGTCTTATTCCTCATTGCATTTGCAGACCTCAAAAACTTTTAAAATGCTGAATATGGAATAAATAAAATGAGACTTCACCTGAACGTAAAATCTTACTAAAAATAAGAGCTAAGAATGAAACAGCCTTGTACGTGTATGAACTGCCAATCTTGGGAAAAGAGTTTAAGCAGGAACTGGGTGACTCACTTTTATTAACAATGACATAAAGGACATTCTCATGCTGGGTGGGATACTGGGCCCAATAATAATTAAGATCCCTCCATGTGTTTTCTAGTTTTATAAATAGAATTATTAAGGAGTTTCAGGTTGAAAATGTACTCCCAAAGTAGCAAATATTATATTATTTCTTAATGAGTAGAAATTCTCTCTAAAACAACCCCACAAAACCACTTCCTATCCTAACTGAATATAACTTCTCTGAAGTTAAATCAACGCAGGCTGCCTTGGTGCTCCCTGCCAAACGTGGTTTGGGATGACAGCCCACAGTGCCCTTATCTCTCAACTGTACAAAACATGGCCCAGAAACAGGTTGGATACTCTAGAAAACCCATTTGTGGTAAACCTAAAGTTCCACTCTTCATTCATTTGTGATGCTGCTCTGTAAACACACCAGGATAGCTTTATTTAGCGTTACACCCATTAATAATGCAGAGATCTTTACACAAGCAGGCGGAGAAAATTAGTCCTGAGTGATTTCGTTACTACAGTGTATACACAAAGTCAAAGGGACTGAGCATCTCATTACTTCTGATATAGAGGATGCTGGCAATATAGACATCAGTCACTGAGCTGAACACCACTCAACAAAGGAATTCAGGCAAGTTTTCTACCTCACTATCTTTTGGAGTCTTACCTTCAACCTGTTGCTATAATTTTTATCCACCTCATAGGTACATGAAACTACCATAGCAGAAAACTTAAGACCAATCCAAGATAATTTCTTCTACTTTTTTAGCTTCCTTCATCTTCAACAACCTCCTCCAAAATTTTTTAACTGAGATAATAAAACTTGGGAAACATTTGCTTCTGATAACTCCATTTGCTGGCAGATTAGATAACGCACTGATATTACAAAATAGATGCAAAGAAGCCTGAGGCCTTGAGCTTTGTCTTTAAACAATTTGTCACCAAAAAATGTTTTGCAAGAAAATGGTAAACTTTTTAGATTTCTTTAATAAATATTTTTATAGCATCCAGTGTTCACAATGCTGTGGAGGAATAACGTGTGAGAAAGCAGAGACATAAACTCTGACGGCCTTTCTAGAAGACTAGTGGGCAATACCTTTCCATTTAAAATGCAAACTCCCTTTGATTCAGCAGTCTCACTGCTGAAAATTTACCATATGTATATACTCTAAATAGATTAAAATAAATATATAAGGATGTTCATTTTAATATTACTTGTAACAGCAAAAACTTAGAAAACTCCAATTTGCCTATCGGCTCTCAGATCAGGGCTGGTGAAGTAAACCACAGTACATCCATAGAATAGGATCTCATGTACCTGCTAAAAAAAAATGAAATAGGTCCCTACTGCTGCTGAGGATAAACCTCCAAGATATAATACAGAATATAAGCAAGGTATGGGTGTATTCCTAAATATTCCGTATTGAAATTCTGAAGGTATATATATAAAACTTAAAAGTGGTTACCTCTGAGAAACATGACTGAGAGAATGCGACTTTCACTTTTTATTCTAAAGTCTGCTGTACTGTTTTTATTATGTGTATTGGTTATTTTATTAATAAAAATAGTAAACTATATGCAGTATTTTCTGCATGGTCTGCAAACACCTGTTTGCTCTCTGTAGAAGTAGCAAAGGGAACACTCTGTCTTTCTTCTTCAGACTTGAGCCTTCACATAGCAAACCACAGAGCCTACTAGTAGACAGGGACCACCCCTCCCCAACTAGTCCAGGTGAGGCCCCCACCCTCACTCACTCTTTCCTGTTTTCTGTGGCCTTGGTGCACGAATGAAGAGAAATTTTCATTACTGTTCTTCCGATTATAGAGCTATAGAGCCATCTCTGAAAAGCCAACTCTAAAGATGATGAAAAGAGTTATTCCATCATAAAAGATGACAAATAAACATTGTTGCTTCTCCTAATGCTATTTATTATATAATTACAGTTGTCCCTTGGTAACCACAGGGGATTAGTTCCAGGAATCCCACAGACACCAAAATCCATGTATACTTAAGATTTTCAGCACTTTGCAACCCACATAAATGAAAAGTCAACCGTCTGTATGAGGGTTTTACAGCTAGTGAATACTGTATTTTTGCTGATGCAGAACCCATGGATATGGAGGGCCCACTATATTTACTGGAAAAAAAAAATCTGTGTATAAGTGGATCCACACAGTTCACCCATGTTGTTCAAAAGTCAGCTGTACATTACAAAAACAAACAAACGAAAATGTTTTCCAATTCAAAGTATATCATCTGCCATTCTTCCAGGACCCATGAGAACCAGAAAGATCAGGCACTAGTCCAAGGGGTTTTCTGTCCCTGCTTAGAATCTTATGTTTGCCTACCTCAAAGTACTAAACAACTCTTTCATCTAAAATTACCTCTATAAGAAAAATAATAGTATACTAAAGCTGAAAAGATGCAGTGGAAGCTACACTGAAAATTTCAGATGCTGAAGATCTTAAAGGATAGTTGAACTCCGTTTTGTACTTTATCCATCAGAGATGCATCTCCAACCCCACTGTGGGGTGGGGTAAAAAAAAAAAAAATGTCACTGAAAAGCATGCTTCTGTTTTACCTATAATTTGACCTTGAGACTTGAGGTAGGAAGGCTACTTACTTAATATCAAGGGACCTTTCCAAACTGTACAAAAATAATCGCTATTATGTTTTCTTTTGTCATAAGGTCATGATACATAGGCATTTATTAAAATTTATGTGTTCATTTATTTTTTAGCTTTACTGATAGATATAGAAAACAAGTTCAATATCACCTGAAAAAGTCTAACATCTCCTTAGCTAAAAATTACTCCTACTAAATCTGATGTTTTATAAGTATTACGACCAAAATGTGATTTCATTTTTGGTAGTGAGGTATAAAAGTAATTAGTAAAATGAACAAAATTGTTGCCTGGTGCACTGAGCTGTCTGTGGTACTGAAAAATGACACCAAAGCTGAAATCTACTGAGCTGGTATCTTACAAAGCCTCCCCATCATACTGTTTTAATACAAGCACTTCCATCCATGACTCACCTGAACCATCTTGTTTTGCCAGAGTGTGTATAAACATTTTATAAAAGGTCACACGGATCTGCTTTCCAAGGTTCTCCATGAAAATGTCAGGGCCTCCTCTTGCTTCATTAAGCAATTCCAGAGGACATAGAGCCAGAAAGTCAGCTATAACACTTACTTTTCCTGAATGCAGTGAGAAATCATATCATGCACCAGAAATCTGCACTGGCGAGCTTTTACTATCTGATTATCATACTGATATGCTAAAAAGAAAAAGCTAAACTGTCCTTTTAGATTATATGCTACATCCAAGGACACGCTATGAATGGCAGCATAACCTTGCATTTAGTTTCTTAACTCAAAGCTAATTGATATATTTGGAATTATTTAGCGTGAGCTGAGAAGTGCTCATTAGCTTAAAACTTTTTATGAAAAAACATATATACCCACAGCAGTGACATCAATAAGTAAAAAAGGAGGGCGGGGGGCAATTCATCATTTTCCATGCATATACATAAGCCTGAGCAGTTGGTTTCATTGTGTTTCAGAATAAGGTATTTGACAGCCCTGCTGACGCTCTTCTCTGGACAAATTAGAACATCTTTACCTTTTTCTGGTTCTTGACTTCCAGTTCAGGGTCTTCACATTTGTTTGGCCCTTCTCCATTTTATTTATTTATTTTTTAATAAAAGCATCTCAGATAAGAATTTGGAGCTTCAGCTTAAAGGAGAAATCCCTCTAGATAATACACCGAGTAAAAAAGCTACATCCAAATTAATTAAATGACATGACCCAAGCATCTATTTTGAAATTATCTTAAGTATAGTGGGTTTAACAGAAACCACATATCATATAAAATAAACCGAATTTTAAAACATATATCATTCTATAACGTTTATGTTGACCAACAGTAAGGAAGTTCACTGTGCATATTTGCCGTGGAGAGTCATTCCATGTCATTTTTCTCACCCATGCAATACATACCCTAATCAAAATATATGTGCATATGCATAATTGAAATGGTCCTCAAAATTAGCCAATGAGTGGAATGCTTTCAAGCATTAATCTATAAAAATATGATTTTTTATAAACTTCTGTAAATTTTAAGCGTTCTAATATGACATCAATTTTTTCAAATAGTTAACATTTGGTAGCTCTTAGACTCCTATGAATTACTTCAAAAAATCTCCCAATAATTCTTAAAGAGTCAATGTTTTCAAGACACTTTGTTTTTGATGTTAATACCAGCAAATGTCCTCCCCCATGAATGTTTCTTTAGCTGTGTGATTTTCACAAGGAACAGGCAATAACACAAAGCTGATATTTAATAAAACCCAGCAAGATCTCTCATTTCAGAATCATTAAGCAAAACGACTCTGTCCTCCAAACAAAACATTTTTCAAGTTAACTTGATTTTTAAAAATATGTAAGAACATTTTGGAATGATCTTTTAAGTTTAACTGAATTTATATACCAAACTTTTGGATTTAGAGGGAAACTGCAGAAAAAGAAATATTCACGTTTCACAGTTTTTGGCATGTAGCAGCAGCTCGCAGAGGAAGCATTATGGCCTGGAAGCTAGGATAGGGCTGGTTCTCACTGTGCACTGTCTAGCTGTGTGGCCCGGCAAGCTACCTCTGCTGATTTCAGATTCCTTATCTGTAAACTGAGTCAAAGGACCATTAAACCTATTTTGTTCCTTCCAGCTCTAATTGTCTACTCTTCAAGTCAAAATGAAAAGATAAATTTCTAATGTTTAAGTTATATTTTAGTATCACTTTAAAATGTTCAAAATAATCTCAAAAGCCCAACCATCACTAGTATTGAATTAAAGATGAATCTATGTAAACTGTTAAAACTTTAAAAAATTCAAATGTGTGTTCATCTCATTTTGTCAGTGCAGTTTTGTAATTTATTTCTGAGTAGTCTCACTCTTTCTAATTATCATTCTCCAACCTCATCCCTTCAAAAACACATTTTTCAAAGTTTTACAAGTATAAAGGCAACGTGAAGTAATTTCTCCCTCTGCACTTGGAGTAATGTGCATCACTATTTTGTCTGGGCATCATTAAAAACGATTTCTTCCATATTTACTTTGTGTTTGCTAATTACTAATTTAAAATTAATTTAATTTAAATTAATACTAAATTACTTCAAAGGCAAATCCTATATAAGATTTTAAATTGAAAGGCAGCTTAAATCTGAGGCAGTCTAAAGGAAGATGGCCTAAATTAAGGGTCTCAAAGTACCACCAAATGTCTAACAACTGCTCAAAAAAGAAAAAAAAAAACTCAGAAAATACATAGTGCAAATTCTCATGCACCAGGACCACAGGACTGAGCCACCGCGCCTCCCACACAGTGCAAATTCTAAGCTGAAAAAAGTCCCAATCTAATTTTTGAAAACTCTATACTTATTTTAATTTAAAAGCCTTAATATTCCTGTGTAGGCTAACAACTGACAAGATGACCCGTAAGTTTTATAGAGCATTCTGATATGGATACTAACAGTCAAATATAGAGCTCCTGGCTGCATTTAAACAAAAGAAATATTTTCAAAAAAAAAAAAAAGAACTCACAAGGACAGTGGCCTTAACTCTTAAATTACATTTTAAAAAATACTTCATGACTGGATACACAGAATTTGCATTCTAAACTTACAACAGTTTTTTTTAATGGTGGGGGATTTAGGAAGGGGTTAGATCTTTTCCCATATCTCATTTATATAAATTAGCTGGCAACTCATCACCCAGTTTTCTTCTCTATGCTAAATTACAGAAGATTATATAGATAGATACAATCTCCCATAATGACGCACCCACTAGGAAGAGGTGTCTCAAACAAGAACACAAGTTCATTCCAGATTAAAACTAGAGCATAACTGGCCTTAAGGAACAAAATGTGACTGATCTGGAGAAAAGGATCCACCTACTGAAGAGAAGTAAAAATCTTAAGGGTCCAACAAATACACCTCAGAAAATGCTGCATGTTTATATGCTACCCTGCCTTGTGTTGTTTTCCACTTCCTGAAAGAACAGGTCAGGTGCTAACGGTAACAATACAGCATGTGTCTTCTGTAACCTCAAGCAAGGACATGATGGCTTGAAAAAAGCCTCTGCTGCCTTGCGTTTCTCTAGGCTGACTGTAGGGCTTTGGGTCATTCATAAACAGCAGGACCTAAGTTACCTGTATTTCCCTGGCGTGGTACACGATGATCAGACCGAGCAGGATGATCGTGGAGAGACTGATAAGGCATTTCAGAGCTAAGGAATACAGCGACGCCTGCAACACAGTCAGACAGAAGCACTTTTAAGAAAGAAGCACTTTTAACCGCCTTCCACGTCCCCAGAGTCAGTCAGTCCCCCACAGGTGGACCTGAACTCACAGAAGGAAGATAAGGGGAGAGGGGTGCACCTGTCTTGGCTCTGTGATCTGTCAGATCACTCGGCCTCAAAACCAAAAGAGACGAGAGTAGACCTGGAAAGACTGGGAAGACGCGTGGCTGGGCTGCTGGGTCCACGCCATAGAGGACCGAAGCGAGCGCCGCTGTTCCAGGCTAGCAAAACCAGAGGAACTTACTTCTGAGTTCAAGAGAGCGGGTTGAAAGGGCCCTTCTAAACATAATTCACGAGGGGATGAATTACAGATGGTTTCCCCACCGACTTCCAGAACCACTTACTTAAGGTGCCCGAATGCGCTGAGCACTCTTAACTGCCTCGAGAACTTTGGCTGCACGCGGAAAGGGTTCATCTCCGAGTTGTTTAGCTGACTACGGATGCGCGTCCTAGACGCGCCCGCTGTCCTGGCGGGCTCCCTTGATCGTCCCGGAGAGGCTAGGGATCCGCACGCAAAGGGTCCCCGCCAGTGCCCATCCCAACCACCCAGTGCCCGACTCCGGTAGCGTGGGCTGGGGTTCAAGCCTGTACCTTGTCGTAGGCGCCCCACGACAGCTCGGTCTCGATGACCATGACCACGATGCCGAACATGCCGAAGATGAGCGCGTAGTCGCTGAGCCGCTTGCGCTTTTCGAACAGGGCGCGCCGGTGGCCCAGCTTGTAGCCGATGTTCTGGTTTTTCTTTTTGCTGGACTTGGTGCCACTGCTGCTGCCGTGCCCGCTCCCGCCACCGCCGCCGCCTCCTCCAGTGCTGCCTCCGCCGCCGGTTCCATAGAGCGCCAGGTTGTTGGAGTTGTTGTGCTCGGGCTTAGACACCACGATCTCGGGGGCTGAGGACGAAACAGCGGCGGCGGCGGCAGCGGCTGCAGACGGGGAGGACGCGCCGCCACCTCCTCCGACAGACGCGGGGGGCTGCAGGGGCTGCGCCTCTGAGTCCATCTCGTGCAGGTTCCGGCGGGACGCGCTCAAGTTGCTGAGCGGCCGCATGACGCCCCCGTTGTACCTGCAGCTGCTCATGGCTATTTCGGTGAAGGGGTTGCTCTCGCGGCGCGCCTGGGGCTGGTGGTGCTGGTGGTGCGCCGGGTGCGGGTGGTGGTGGTGGTGCGAGAGCGGGGGCCCGGAGCCCAGACTGCCGAGGCTGCCCGTGGGGCTGGCGGCGGGCTGCAGGCTGTGGCACTGGTGGTACTGGGAGGCGGACGCCGACTGCTGCGCGGACTGCTGCGCGTACTGCTGCCGGAGCGCACTGGCATGGCTGGACGGCGTCAGCTCGCTCACATTGAGCTGGCTGCCCCGGCGCGACGAGCAGCAGCAGCAGCAGCAGGACGAGCCCGACAGCGGCGAGGAGGTGCGGGTCCGGAAGGCGCCGCCGGGCGAGGAGGTGCGGAGCAGCAGGGACAGGTTATCTCCCGCCCCCGCCGCCGGGGCACCGGAGGAGGCGCAGCTGTTGCACCGGAGGCATGGGCTGCTGCCGCCGCTGGCCGGCTGCTGGTGCGCGAGGTGCGGGTGGTGGTGAGGGTGCGGGAGGGGCGCGAAGGGCGGGCACGGCTTGTCCTGGCTCTGTTGCTGCTGCTGGCAATGCAGGTGTGAGGAGCGCGGCGGCGGCGGCGGCTGCTCTGGGAAGAAGCCGCGCTGGAACTGCAATGGGGTTTCCATGTCAGGGCTGTTAAAGCTGCAGGGAGACCAAGCGGTGGTGCACCCTGCGCAATGCGTTATGGTCGGGAGCGGGGACTCCTGCTGCTGGTGCGAGGAAGGGCCCATGCCGGCTCCGGTAGAATCCAGGCGGCGAGTCCGATTGGTTGGGCGCACCAAAACAATGGGCATGACATCACCTGCGGGGACCGAGACTGAGTTTGCGGCGCGCGCGGCTTAGGGAAGCGTGTGTGGCAGAGAAAGATGGGGAGGGGAATCTGCAGGACAAACCCTAGGGGGGTGCAGTCCAGAGCCAGGGCGCTCCAGGGCAGGGATTCCGCCTGCTGATTGCGTGGAGATGGAGAGCCCCCACGCAGTGCAGCTGGGCTGCAGGGGGAGGAGAAAAGAGAAAGGCGCCCCTCCCTCCCGTGCCGCTGCCCCCTTGACTAGTGCCGGACGCGCTGCCCGGATCACCTGCGCCAGCCACTGCAGCACGTCGGGCCACCTTGGCCGGGGGCAGGCTCAGGGACGGTGTGGAACCCCGACCACTTCTCCGACTGCACGCCTCGCAGGGCTGCAAAACAGCAGCCCCCTCGTCCCACGCCCGCTTCTCCCAGATCATCCCGCCGAGAGTGGGCTGCCGGCTGCCCGCCAAGTAACTGCGGGGGCACTGGCTTTGGGGAGAAAAAGTTTGGCGACCGGCTGCGCCAGTGCAGCAGCGTGTGGGGAGAATCCCGGGGCCTGAGCCCTGCCTTGGCCGCTGCGGGATCATAGCCGACCCCGAGACCGGATCTTTCCCAGCCGGCAGGCTCTGGAATCTGGATTGGGTGCGCGGCGCTCTAGCCCAAGTGCGCTGCGGCGCGGGTAGGGTTAACCGCCTCGGCACCCCGGCCGGGGGTGGGTGGGGGCGGGGCCGGAGGAGGGGATCCCCGCAGTCTGCCGACAGAGCCGGCCGGGCTTCCCGGGTCCCCCCTGGCGGGGGCGGAGGGCTTTCCCCGCTACCGCCAGCTCACATTTGCGCCTTCTCCAGAACATGAGGGGATGGCGCCCCCGGCCGCCGGGTCCTGGGCTCTGGCGCTCAGGCCCTCCGGCAGCCCGAATCCGGAGGTCCCAGGGCTTCCTTGCCGGTGGAGAGGCAGGCGGCTCGCTCAAAGGTGTGGGGGCTGCTCAGCCACCGCCGGCCTCCAGCTGCTCTTCTGCTTCTCTTCCTCCTCCTCACCTGCAGCGCAGACACAAAGCAAAGACCGGTCACAAATACGCAAATATCGAGCATCTTTGCCAAGTCCTAACTGCAGCGGCGGGTGGGAAAGGGGCCTGGCGCGGGCTGATTCACCCCGGTAGTCGCAGCCTGGCAGGGAAATTAAGAATGATAGCTTGGGCTGAATAGTCGCTGCCCACGGACAGTGCTGGAGTTTTGTTGGAGTTCGGTATCATTATTTATTTATTTACTCTCTAATAAACTAACAAAAATTGCATTTGGTGTCTCACAAATTCCCTGTGCTGTCTTCTTCTAAGAGATGTACCAACACAATGCACTAGGTGATCCTTATGTTCTTTGTTTCTGCTCCATCTTAAGTCTTTACATTTGCATTTCTTTGTGAATTCAAATTCCCGTCTCCCCCTAAAGAAGGTGAAAGAAATTGGCCCGTTGAATATTTGTTTCCATTTTAAATTATTTTAAAGCCTGCTTTTCATGATAAAGACTATTACAACGAGTTAGACCTAGCAATTAGAGTGAAAGCGGATCACCCTCATTAGGTCATTAGGTAATTGGAATTCTCAGCTGGATCCAATTTCTTGATATTCTACTCGGCAGCTGCCCTAAAGTTGCTTACCTGGTATCTGCTTTTCAGAGTGTGCGTGTGTGCGCTTTCAATGCCATGGAATGAATAATTCATTTTATGATGTTCTTTGGACACATGTTAATTTTAATTTTTTGTGTGTGCAAATAAACATTCAGCAGAAAAAAAGGGGTGGGGGGTGCACAGCTGCTTTTAGTCCCGTAGCCCTGGACTTGAGCTAATTAATACTGTCCGGAATTGAATTTCTCAATGGTCTTGGTCAAGAATATAATTTAGTGGCTAACAATCAGAGACAGCATTTTGTTTTTATCATCTATTACTATTTTTGTTCTGTATCTTCAAAATAGCAATTCAATAAAACTTCTTTAGAATCACGAAGCTAATTGAGTCTTCGGGGCAGCTGAGTAGATACTGCATAAATTGTGTGGAAAGCATGAGTATTCAAAACAATCCTGCGAAGTAATTTGAATTAAAATGAAAGTTTCCCTATGAAAAGTTACTAACCTGGTCTGAAAAAGAAATTCAACTCATGCGGAAAATCCATCAAACATGTATTAGGACGCTTTTCAACAAATTATGTAGCTTTCCAGTTGCTATACGTAGCGATTGAGTGAAAATGTTTGATTCATCCTTACAAATCTAAATACTTCAAAGGAACATTATGGTAAATTAATAAATATTTTTATTAGCCGTTCATAAATTTAGATAAAAGATTACATAGCCTCCACCCCTGAAATATCATAATAGTTGTTGCCAGCATTAAATTAGATATAAGGTTCTACAGTTACTAAACTGTCATAAGAAAAATAATGGCTGCATCCCTTGTGTCAAACTGACTTTGTCAAATAGCAAATTCACGGCTTCAACAGAGGCTCCAAAACCAAAATAATAGGCAAAAATGTATCTTTTGCCATGTATATCTCTATGCTGTAATATGGGATTAGTTGCAGTGCTATTAATCATGTAGAAATCATGTAGAAATAATCATCTCAGAAATTGCCTACTGAGATTTATGGCAATGTTGCATGGAGTTCTCACTTCTCTTCAAGGGGGTACACAGGAGGATAGAATGCACAAAATTCAGAAGAAAATGGAAATTTGATTCACAACATGAGGGACTGTCGGAACACCAAAACTCAGACTAATACTACTTCCGGCTAGCACTATTTTGAAAAAGCTCATAAAATAATTTAATAATGTAAAACTCACTGTGATTGGACAGAGAGCAAATCAATCAGACATTTATCGGCTTTCTGTTAAGAAATCAACTGATTACACACACTCAGCCGTCTTGCTAATAAATATCTGTATATTGAGAGTGTGGTAAACCTGTATTACTATGATGATGAAAAAACACAAGATAATTTTGTTTCATTTTTAGTCTGAATCATAACTTCATTATTTAAGGCATTTTACACTATTAGGTTATAACAGGCACATTTAAGAAGTTCTTATTTTCATCATTCCTCTTTTAATAAAGTCAACAAATTTTAAGTTTATATGTAGACATTTAAAATGTGCATAACATGATTTCTTTTTTTTCTACACAGGACTGTAGAGATACATGTAACATGTAAAGTTAAATGAAGCAACAAAGGCAATATTCTTCCACGTGGATAGTAGTTTGCACATAGTAGATACTTATTTATATTTGTGAGTACAGAGAGAAGGAGAGAGGAAGGAAATGAAGAAACATTGGGGGAAAAAAAAAGACGCAGATCAAGGGCTATGACTTCCAGTGATAAGCTTTCAGAAAATTAAATTTCCTTCTTTTTGTTCCATTAAAGCATATAAGTGAGAGAATTTCCCTAGATTAACACCAGAGGTCATACTCAGCCACAAAATGTATTTCAAATCTAATCAATTAAATCTATTTCCAGCATCACTTTTTAATAAAAATTGCCTATTTTTTTCTTATGGCCTACAACAATTGCTTTCCCATGTTTGTTGAATTTCAAGCTTGTGAACACGCACACAAACACCCATCCCACACACAAACACATTTTCTTAGAAGCATGTCTTTTTTCAGACCACAGGAGCTTGGGAAAAAAACTTCATCTCCTTCGCCCACTTTTTGATGGGGTTGTTTGTTTTTTTCTTGTAAATTTGTTTGAGTTCATTGTAGATTCTGGATATTAGCCCTTTGTCAGATGAGTAGGTTGCGAAAATTTTCTCCCATTTCGTAGGTTGCCTGTTCACTCTGATGGTAGTTTCTTTTGCTGTGCAGAAGCTCTTTAGTCATGTGTTTTTTGGCTGCATAAAGGAAGACATTTATGCAGCCAAAAAACACATGAAAAAATGCTCATCATCACTGGCCATCAGAGAAATGCAAATCAAAACCACAATGAGATACCATCTCACACCAGTTAGAATGGTGATCATTAAAAAGTCAGGAAACAACAGGTGCTGGAGAGGATGTGGAGAAATAGGAACACTTTTACACTGTTGGTGGGACTGTAAACTAGTTCAACCATTGTGGAAGTCAGTGTGGCGATTCCTCAGGGATCTAGAACTGGAAACACCATTTGACCCAGCCACCCCATTACTGGGTATATACCCAAAGGACTATAAATCATGCTGCTATAAAGACACATGCACACGTATGTTTATTGCGGCATTATTCACAATAGCAAAGACTTGGAACCAACCCAAATGTCCAACAATGATAGACTGGATTAAGAAAATGTGGCACATATACACCATGGAATACTATGCAGCCATAAAAAATGATGAGTTCATGTCCTTTGTAGGGACATGGATGAAATTGGAAATCATCATTCTCAGTAAACTATCGCAAGAACAAAAAACCAAACACCGCATATTCTCACTCATAGGTGGGAACTGAACAATGAGATCACATGGACACAGGAAGGGGAATATCACACTCTGGGGACTGTTGTGGGGTGGGGGGAGGGGGGAGGGATAGCATCGGGAGATATACCTAATGCTAGATGACGAGTTAGTGGGTGCAGCGCACCAGCATGGCACATGTATACATATGTAACTAAGCTGCACAATGTGCACATGTACCCTAAAAGTTAAAGTATAATTAAAAAAAAAAAAAAATTTCATGTTGTTTGCACTCCAATCCCTTATTTTATTCAAATTTCTATTATGCCATTGTTCATAATTCTCTTCTTTATAGTATTGTCTATGCTATGTCTTTTTGTTGTACCTTAAAAAGCAGGGTTCTCTTGACTTTGGGTGTTTTTGGTATATTTCCAAATTCAATCAGACCAGGGGTCCCTGGCATCTGTTTCCCATATTGGGGTGGTCTGAAGGAAAATTTTGACCTACAAAGTAAATGTTTTTCTGAGAATTATTTTTTTCTTTGCCTGGGTGAGTCAACTACAATATTTGGTGGTGCCAAACGCAGAGGTTGTGATGAGACACCGCCACTCTGAACTTACTGTCCTTAGCAATAAATGCCAGTGGGGAATCAGGATAGTATCATTTATTTCCTTAGCACAGTAATAATTCCATGTTTCTGGAAACATAACAATTAAAAGGCCCTAAAAACACCATTATTTTTAAATCACACATTGCCCCACTTTATAAGAAATCTACTAATTTGAAGAAAACATAAAAATCATAATTATTATATGTGTTCTTCATACTTCTGCCTTATGATTATAAAGTATCAAGACATGAATGAGCATATTGGTGATGGTCTTATAAATTTTTAGCAATACCTCTATTTTTTTAGGGGCTAATTATTGTGTTAGGGCCTATCCATTCACTTCCTAACTTTTCAGTTTTTCCTGTTCTCACCCTTGTCTCCTACCGTTTCTCAGCTAGTTAGCATATCTATAAAAGTCTCTGCAATGCCAGCAAAAAAAGACAAAAGTAAAACTCATACTGAGTTTGCTAGTAGAACTTGTGTTAATTAAATGGGTGAACAGGTAGAAATCATTGTGTATGCTAAGTCTTATTAAAATAATCTGGATTTCATGAACAAATATCCTTTGGCAGCTAGAAACACAACACCCAAATCTAGAAAGTCATAAAACTTAGCAGACAGCACATTCTAGTTTATAAAGTAGTTTCTTATGTGTTTATTTTATTTGCATCTCACAACAAGCCATATGGAAGGCAGGAAAAGGTTTTATCATCAACTCCGTTTTACAAGTAACGAAAATATCTGAAATGCAGTGCCTACCCTACCCAAGGTGACATAGCTAGCTAGTGAGCAGCAAAGAGAAGCCAGACTTCAAATACAATCTTCTGAATTTTTCTGTGGGTCTGTTTTACACTCTGCTAGCTCTTCTTCACAGCTGAAGAATATAGTCGCCTCTCATTAGTAGAAACTACCTGTGAAGGGCCTCACAGACATTTCCTCACTGGCTTTTTCGTTTCTCTGATCCTTAACTATTGTCCTCTTGTTGACTTCATTTGATCAACAGAATAATTTGTGAGGATATAATACAAATGTAGATGAAATAGCAGTGCTATATGCCTGCAGGTCCAAGGTACCTAATTAAAATGTATTTTAAAAATACAGATACTGATGTATTCAGACACACTCTTCTATCTACTTTGCTGCCAGCCTGTAGATTCCTAATTTTTGGTAATATTGACACTGGCAAATGCTATTTAGTTTTTTCAAATAATAAGGGAGGAGGAGCAGGCTCAAATTCTTCACCCTGCAGCTCAGAGGAACTTGTCTGCAGTCTTGCAGGCATCCAGTTTGGTTCCTTGGCTCCTACTCTGGCAGACTTGTCCTCTCACTGCTTCTCCTTTTATGCCAAAGAGTGAGAGAACCGGAGAAAGGAAGCCAGGCTGCACGCCACAAGGAGAGAAAAACCAGTGTGTCCCACAGTTGGCTTAAAGAGTTAGCAAAAGTGGAACCAAATATATTAAAACTAGCCCTAAATACTGAGGTGAAAGCTTACACTTGGAAATCTCAAAAGTTCTCTGGTTGCTCAGTGCTAAAACATAGGGAGGCTAAAAACTGAAGGTTTATTTTCCCTTTGAAATCCAGTGTATATTTTCATAATTATTTTCTTCTTCCATACAGTGTTAGGGCACAAGATATATTGACTCATTTTTCTCGTTTCCTGATCACAGCCCTGTAAGTTCTCTTTCCGTGTGTTATTCATGAACTCCCTATTACTATGTTTGCCTTATTCTTATCTACCTCTTGCCAAACAGGCTCAGAAAATCTACTACTCTTCGTCTAACTTTATGTTATTCTCTCTCTTTCTGGGAATATTTGTAAATCCCAGTCCCCTAATAATTGTTTCAGTGCCAGGAGAGAGTTGGTGCCTACTCATACAAAGGGAAAGAACCACAATTTGCTAAGTTAAATTAAATGTAACAATGTCACCAGCAACAAAACACTCCAGATGTAAATAAATTACCAAGGTTTGCATATTCATATTTATCTTCTAAGCAAGGGTTGTCTTAAAAATGAGTTTAATTCTGGATTACTGCTGTTTTGTCTTATGGCTGTAAATCCATTAGCACTTTTGTTCTGTTTTAATTATTAATGTACAATAATTAGGTCATACAAAACAATATACATTATGTAAAATATCAGGGGAAAAACACAACAGATATATGCTAGACAAATTTAATGACAAAACTTACTATTTAATAAATACAACATTTTTTTCTCACTACTTAGGATGAGTCCTTCCTAAAACCTGTTTTAATTAGTTGAAACTATTGGATACTTTCACAAGTTAAATTTTCTTAACAAGGAGTACTTCCTAGCTCATATAACTGAAAGTATTATTAGGTAAAACTTCAATGCTATTTGATTCAGAGGTTAAGACATCATCAGTGTTTCAACCAGTGTTTCAGTTTCCTTAGATATTTTATTATTCTCCTCCTTCATATGTATTGGCTTAATCCTCAGGTTAACTTACCTCATGGTAGCAAAAAGAGCTGTAGCAGTTTTAGCCCTCATATTCATACCCAAATCATTCAGAGGGAAGAAGGTCATCCTCTGCCCCAACTTTCCAAACAATTTTCTAGTATATCTAATTGAACCAGCTTCCTTCACATGCCCAACTCTGAACTATAAAGAATGGTTAAAGGGAGGTATGATGGGAATGACTCATCAAACAGAGAATATTGATAAATAAACAGAAATTATTTAAAAGAATCTAATTGAAATTTTGGAGTTGAAAAGTAGAGTAACCATATGAAAAATTCAATGATAAATTTGAGCCAGCAGAAAAAGAATCAATAAACTGAAAATACACTGATGAAGATTATGCAATCTGAAGAACAGAGAAAAGAAAGCATAATAATAAGAAAACCCCCAGCACCTCAGAGAAATGTGAGACACCACTACATGCACCAAGAGACATGAAATGGAAGACCAAAAGAAAAAAGAGAAAAAAGACAGAAAAAATATTCAAAGAAATAATAGCTGAAAACTTTCCAAATTTGATAAAAACATTCATCTACACCTCCAAGAAATTCAACAAACTTTAGGATAAACTAAAGCAATCCATACCCAGAAACAGCATAGTCAAAAAGGGAAAATTTTGGAATAGGTAAAGAAAAATAACATGCCAAGTACAGGAGAGCACCAATAAGATCAACCACTGACTTCTCATCACTAAACAATAGTGACCAGAAGGCAGTGGGATGGTATATTCAAAGCACTGAAAGAAAAACAAATCTGTAAATTAAGAAAATATTTAGTAACGTTAACAAACATGAAGACAAATAGTTTCCCAGAGAAATAAAAACTGAGAGAATGTAATGCTAACAGACTTGCCTTTCCAGAAATGCTAAAGAAAGCTTTCAGGCTGAAAGCAGATAACATCAAACAGTAATTTGAATCTACACACACACAGAAAAAGAGCGCCAGTGGTAATTATGTGGGTAACTATAAAAAACAATATAATTTCATATTTTTAAATTTCTCCTGATTAAATAAAATACCTTAAAATAATGAATATATAATTATACTGCTTGGTCTATAATATAGAAATTTAACACATTTGACAATAACAGCACAAAGGATTGAGGTAGAAGAAAGACATATCGAAGTACAGAAATGACACCAGATGGTAATTTGAATTCACAGGAAGAAATGAAGAGGACCAGAAAAGGTAAATAAATAGGTTAGTATAACAAGTTCTATAAATACATATCTACTGTCTGTTATACCATGCAAACAACAACCATATAAGTATTGGAGTGGCTACATTAGTACAGCCAAAATGGACTTTAAGAAAAAAAAAATGTAACTGGAGACAAAGAAGACAATTTTATAAGGACAAAATGCCAGTCCATCAGGAAAATACAACAATTTTAAATACATATATGTGCATAAAAACAGAATCCCAAGATACATGAAGCAAACTGCCAGAATTGAAAGTACAATTAGCCAATTCAATAATAATAGAGACTTTAATAGTCTACTTTTAATAATGGTTAGAACAGCTATGCAGAGGATTAACAAGAATACAGAAAATGTTAACAGCAGTATAAACCAACTGTACCTCACAGACATTTACAGAACATTCTCCTCAGCAACAGCAGAACACACATTTTTCTCACGTGCACAAGGAACATTGTCCAAAATAGCCTGACTTGACCATTATGTAATCTATGCTTGTAACAAAATTGCACTTGTACCTCGTATATTTATACAAATTCTTTAAAATTTTGGGAAATTCAGAAATACGTAAATATTAAACAGCACACTCCTAAATAAGAATCAAAGAAGAAATCACAATGGGAATTAGAAAATATTTAAAGATAAATGAAAACAAAATCACAACATGCAAAAACCTACAGGATGCACCTAAAGCCATGCATAGAGGGAAATTCTTAGCCATAAATATGTAAATTGGAAAAAGATGAAATATTTCAAATCAATAAGCTAACATATTACTTTAAGAAAAAAGTAACATATTACTTTATGAGAAAAGAAGAGAACAAGGCAGAAGGAATCATGAAGACTAGAGTGGAAGTTAACAATGGCAATAAAAAACAGAACATATCATTGAAAATAAAAATTAGTTTTTGAAAAGATCAATAAAATTGATGAACCTTTAGTAGACTGACCAGGAAAAAAAAAGAAAGAGAAAGAGAGAGAAGAGCATATTACTAAAATCTGGTAATAAATAGAGGGCATCACTACTAACCTTACAGAAATGAAAAGGA